>NC_000001.11:245426545-245578060 GCF_000001405.40 Homo sapiens
ATGGCTCCCTGTGTTACCTGAACAGCATTCTTCAGTCCTCTTGAGCATGTCACTGACTGTTGTATGACTGATTTGACCAGTATCCCCTTGGGTCCAGAGGTTGCCGTAGTGTTAAAACCAAGCCCCGCTCAGGCCCTGGGGTCAGGGCTAGGCTGAGCAGAGAGGACTGACCTCTGGCTCCCAGGCCCTGCCTTCAGGACCACGTGGCTTCTCTTGTTAGTTCCCTGTGGGGCCTGCTCTTCGTGCTGTGTATCCTCATGTGACCATACGGAGAGCTGTTACTGGTCTGATGACCATTATTGCCGCACTCTCGCTGAGAAGCAACTCAGATAGCGCCTTGCTGTGATGGTTTCAGCAAATGCTTTTCATATATGATCTTGTATGATGAAGGCTTTCTTTAGTCCCTGGGCCCTTAACAGTGGTACTTGGTTATATGTTTGGAGTTGATGAAGTCAGAGAAGGATGGGAAGGAGCGTGGAACTGTTCCTGCTTCTTTTGTTCTTCTGTCAGGTACAGTTCCCTTTAGGGATGCTCCCTTCTTCCCCTTAGAAATACATCAACAATATTACCAGAGAAAAACTACCCTAAACATACCACAATTGGTCTCAGGTGATCTAGGCGGAGGAAAAATTGAGCTGGGTGTCTGAGATCCAACTCCTAGGCGTCAATTGACTGTGGAGAGACAGGGCACAAGTTCTGCCTCCAGTTTCACAACTTGGAACAGTTAATGTCCAGCACTGTTTCCATTATGATAGAATGATGCCTTTACAAAAACAAACAGGCCAGGCGTGGTGGCTCACACCTGTAATCCCAGCACTTCGGGAGGCCGAGGCAGGCAGGATCACCTGAGGTCGGGAGTTTGCGACCAGCTTGACCAACATGGAGAAACCCCGTCTCTACTAAAAATACAAAATTAGCCAGGCATGGTGGTGCACGCCTGTAATCCCGTCTACTTGGGAGGCTGAGGCAGGAGAATCACTTGAACCCGGGAGGTGGAGGTTGCGGTGAGCCAAGATCACGCCATTGCACTCCAGCCTGGACAGCAAGGGTGAGACTCTGTCTCAAAACAAACAAACAAACAAAGAAAAAGCCCTTTTAGGAGCTCATATTGTAGAACTTCACTGTATTATTTTTTTTTCCTGTTTCTTGTTTTGTTTTCACTGAAGCATATTTTGCTTACCCTTAGTTCCTTGCACTTGCCAGGGTCCCGTTCTGACTTGGTGTCTGTTCTTTTCTCCTTGCCCCAGTGTATCCCCTCGTTCTCACATTCCAGATCTCAGTCTGCCTATTCCAGGACTTCCCATGGAAGCAGGGCTACCATTGAGCTTCCTGTGGGACACTTGTGGTCGGGGCCAACATGCATAATTGTGCCATCTATTCACAGAACCAGGGCGCCCAATTGTAGGAGTGAGTGGGGCTTAAATCCAGCCAACACTGTGCCAGCCTGGTGGAACCACCTCCTCTGGGGCTCTGTCAATCCTCCTTGGATGCAGGTAATGTCTGGGCTCATGTTGTCCTGGCCGGCCCTGCCTCCTTCACTGGTGGCCAAGCAGTGTCAGGACATAGATCTTTGAAGGGCTGAACTGGAAGGCAAACCCCTACCCTCTGGTTTCTTATTTATTTATTTATTCCTGACAGGTCGTAGCTTTACTCTGCTTAGAAAATACTCCGTTGATTTCTTGGAAAAGAAGGGACTCTCACTCATGTATATTGATGAAGTGAATTTTTAGGAATCATAGTTCTATGAATATGGTCTCACTTTAACTCACCTTATGAAAGGAAAACATTAAGAAGCAACCAAGGGTATATTTAGTGCCATCCGATTTCAAGGGCCCTAGAAAACAGTCTCAGGCATTTGCTGTGTGAAGCTGAACCTCCTCAGTTGCTTATGAGACAGCGAAAGCACAGAAGGAAAAGTGGTTGTAATTTAACGTCTACACTGTTTTCCCTTCTGCTAAAAACATGCCTAAAACACCTCAAATAGATAACCCTAACATCCAATATGCAACCCCAGCAACCCCCAACTGTTCTGTTGTTGGGGGTGCAGTCCGTAACAGAAGTGGCATTCATAGCTTGGCACACACCACTCTGAGATGGTGAGCTACGCTAAAGAAAATGACCAGCGTTTGCGGCCCCTTCCCATCTTCTGCTGCAGGGAATGTGGTCAGGTGGAGCATTTTCTGATTAAACAAGTCCTTTGTCTGACTGGCGGCCGGTTGGGGTGTTGGCAATTGGCTCCCAACATCTGGGAATCATTTCCACGGCTTTGCCTAGGTTGAAAACTCAGTTCATGTCTTGATGTGAATGTCTGAAGGCAAAGCAATTTCAACAAGCCTCAAGAATCCCAGGGATTCTTGTAAGATACTCTCAGGGTTAAGGATTCTAGTTCTTATTGCACATTTTGCATTTTTTGTTTTAATTGATGCTGTGGTGGGGGCGGGGGTGGGGGGCAGTGGTTAGGAGAGAAGGATATTGAATAAGCAAACAGAAAGCTGGAGAAGCCCAGGCTTGAATTCTCAGCCAGACACTGACATTCTGACTTGAGGCAAGTAACTTAACCTTGCTAAGCTTCCGTTGCTTCTGTTCAATGGAGATCATCATATCTGCTTTATAGGATTATGGAGAGGATTAAATGAAAATGTGATAGTCCTTGGTAAACTTCATCCAAATCCTACAGATAATGTGAAGATGGCACGTGCTATAAAAAGGATGGAGTTCTGTCCTCAATGAATTCTCAACGTTCCCTTTTGAGTAGATGACTTTTCGTTGAGACCTTTACAGGCTGTTTAGGTGGCCCTTTGTTATCTGTCTAACGACTGTCCAGGCCTTCTGTGGCAATTATAAAGATCTGGTATCATGTCTCTGAGAACAAAAACCACCTACAGAAGGAGCTGAAGAGCAATTCGCCCTTAAATCTCACCTGTTACGAACTAGATGCCATTGGTGATGGAAAATATCAGTGACCCATACGGAGAGAGAAACCTGCCCTCAAGTAGCTGCATTTTAGCAGAGCTCCAGGTAGGTCACTGCTCACCTCTAAATCTTCTGAAGAGGTTTCATTTTTTTGTTGGTTTTTGTTTTGTTTTGAGTTGCAGTCTCGCTCTGTCTCCCAGCCCAGATTGCAGTGGCACAATCTCGGCTCACTGCAATCTCCACCTCCTGGGTTCAAGCAATTCTTCCACCTCAGCCTCCCAAGTAGCTGGGATTACAGGCACCTGCCACCACACCTGGCTAATTTTTGTATTTTTTAGTAGAGATGGGGTTTTGCCATGTTGGCCAGGCTGGTCTTGGACACCTGACCTCAGGTGATCTGCCCACCTTGGCCTCCCAAAGTGCTGGGATTACAAGCATGAGCCACTGCACCCGGCCTTGTTGTTGTTTTATAGCCCTAGAAAAACTGGTACCAAACAATAAGGAAGAGACTGAAGGGAAAAAAGAAGATGGGGAGGGGCTTTAAGAATTCTGTTCCCATAGAACTTTGTGACTCACTGAAGGCCAGCAAGCTGGAATTGTCGTGATACTCACAGTGGACATTAACGAAAACAGTGAATAAAAGTAAAAGGGGAAATGTTCTTTCTTTGTGAATACCCTCGTGATCTGAACTGGGGGCTGAAGAGGGAGGATGGGGTGACATGGAGTAGATTCAGGAAAAGCAGAGTAGAAACCTGTGAACTGAAGGAGAGGACCAATGGATGAGGAGAGGATGCAATTTTATCTAGTATATGTTGCGTAAATTTGTTTCCTGGTCTACACTTCTACCACCACCCTAATACAGTACCGCTATAATATGTTTCCTTCCTTCAGCACTGACTCATTTAAAAATCGTACTGGCCAGCCAGGTGGTGCCATGGCTCACAACTTGTAATCCCAGTACTTTGAGAGGCTGAGGTGGGAGGACAGCTTGAGGCCAGGAGTTCAAGACCAGCCTGGGCAACATAGCAAGACCCTGTATCTGGAGAAAAATTTAAAAAAGCAACCAAGTGCAGTGGCACATACCTGTAATCCTAGCTACTTGCGGGGCTGGGGCAGGAGGATCGCTTGAGCCCGGGAGGTTGAGGCTGCAGTGAGCTACGATCTCACCAGGGCACTCCAGCCTAGGCGACAAGAGTGAGACCCTTCTCTTAGAAAAAAAAATAATCATAATAGCCTACATTTTTGAGGGCTTCTTATATGCCACACACTATTCTGAGTTCTTGACACACATTTAATCTTCAGAAGCCCCCATGAGTTGGCCGTGTTTTTATCCCATTGTTTAGACGTGGAAACTGAAGCACAGAGGGCAGAAGTAAGTTGACCAAGTCCACACAACTAGTAGGCAACGCATAGGGATCCGAGCCAGGTGTCTGATTCCAGAGGCCACAAGCCAGAATATAAGCTCCAAATATAAGGTGGGGACATTTGTGTCTTTGTTCTTGGCTGAAGCTCCAGCACCTAAAAGAACACTCAAGAAATGTTTGTTGAATAACTCAATGATGGTCTTAGCCACCATGCTCTCCTGCCTCCAAACTCAAGATGGGTTGCAATGGACAGGGGTCATTAACTAAGCAGTCTCAATGCAACGATCTCAATGTGAGACCAAAGTAGAGAATGGGTACAAAGTGCACCACAGAAGCTATAGGGGGAAGCTTTTGGAACAACTACTCTTTTTTTTGAGACAGAGTCTCGCTCCGTCGCCCAGGCTGGAGTGCAGTGGTGCGATCTTG
Organism: Homo sapiens; assembly: GCF_000001405.40. NCBI lineage: Eukaryota > Metazoa > Chordata > Mammalia > Primates > Hominidae > Homo > Homo sapiens. The sequence goes on from NC_000001.11 coordinate 245,431,249, forward strand.
GCTCACTGCAACCTCTGCTTCCTGGGTTCAAGCAATTCTCCTGCCTCAGCCTCCTGAGTAGCTAGGACTGCAGGCGCCCGCCACCATGCCCAGCTAATTTTTTTTTTTTTTTTTGAGACAGAGTCTTGCATTGTCGCCCAGGCTAGGGTGCAGTGGTGCGATCTCGGCTCACTGCAACCTCTGCCTCCCGGCTTCAGGCGATTCTCCTGCCTCAGCCTCCCAAGTAGCTGGGATTACAGGCATCCGCCACCATGCCCAGCTCATTTTTTCTATTTTTAGTAGAGACAGGGTTTCACTATGTTGGCCAGGCTGGTCTCAAACTCCTGACCTTGTGATCTACCCACCTCAGCCTCCCAAAGTGCTGGGATTACAGGCGTGAACCACTGCGCCCAGCCAATTTTTATATTTTTAGTAGAAACAGGGTTTCACCATATTGGCCAGGCTGGTCTTGAACTCCTGACCTTGTGTTCCACCCACCTTGGCCTCCCAAAGTCCTGGGATTACAGGCGTGAGCCACTGCGCCTGGCCTGACCAACTACTGTTTATGCTTCTAATTTTGTTAGTTACTAAAATATCGCTTTCAGTCTCATGCAGTAAAAGCAAAAGGTTTTTCAGTGACTTACAAGGCTCTGTGCACACCATCTGTCCCCTGCCCTCTTCCTCTGCCATGTTCCCACTTGCTTACTCTGCTCTAGGCATATTGACCTCCTTGCTTTTCCTCTAAAAGTGCCAAGGCCATTCCCTCCCCCTAGGCTTTGTTCTTCTGCTTGGCTTAACCAGACCTTCCTTCAGATCTTTGCTCAAATGCCACTTCCTTGGTAAAGCCCTCTGTGACCTCCCTGTTTAAAATTACAATAATCCCACCTGTGCACCCCTCCCTCTCGCGTGGTACCTGCTACATTAGGAATATTTGCTGAATGAATGAATCTCAGACAAATGGGAGATGGGCGGCTAAGTCTCCAGATTGTCCTGCATTGAAGTGCTTGGAGAAGTTTGCGAATTTTCCCACTCAGTTCAAACCACATGCTCAGGAATTAAAGTGTTCTTTCAGCTTTCAGATGTTTTCGGGGGATAGCATTGTAACAAAGCATGAAAAAAAGCAGTGTTGGGAAATTGAGATTCTTATTACAGTGGGAGTACCTGGTTGTCATTTCAAGATGAGGATTTGTTAAGGGATGGGACAAGGGATGCTGCCTGGGACAATAAACCAAAGAAAGATTTAAAACAGAGAAAAGAGTTATTAGTTACAGGACTAGCACAAACAAAGTAGGGCTCTCCATCTTTTTCCTGTCTCGCTGAAAACCCATCTTTTCTTCCCTTGAATAAACTTCTTTGCTTTCTGTCCCCCTGCTTTGATTTATTATTTTAATTCTATAGCTGTCTTCGTGAAGTATGTAAAGCATTTGGGGGTAAAATCATGTGGAAGACATTATAGAAACTAAAGATGTGTGATATTATGTGGTGTTGGGTAGAGGCTCAGCGTGCTTATGAATCACACGGTTGATGAAAACACCAATCTGTCCAGGGCCATTGTCTATCAGCTGTATAAGAAATTGGCTCATTGTTGAGGGTACAAGAAGGAGGAATGTAAGGGGGACTGCCGGAATAATTCGGTTAGAATTCGGTAAAACCGGAGCATGGAGAGGTCTGGTTGACATCCCTCCTTTTTATACTGAGAGATGTCCCTGAAGGTGAGGTTTTTATTTTCTTGCCTCTAAAAGGGAAATAATGAATGTTTCTATTTCTTCTGTCCTATTACTCTGTGATGAATGCTTCTTTTATTTTTATCTGAGTCTAACTCCCTCCACCATACTTAGCATCATGCTTGCATCATATCCATTAATAAATGGATGTTGAAAGAATGAATCAACCATGCTTGAAAACTTAGATCTCTCTTGCTTTTCAAGAGACTCAAATATTTAAAAGCAGCTATGGAGCCGTGTGCGGCGGCTCCCGCCTGTAATCCCAGCACTTTGGGAGGCCGAGGCAGGTGGATCACAAGGTCAGGAGTTCAAAACCAGCCTGGCCAACATAGTGAAGCCCCATCTCTACTAAAAAAAAAAAAAAAATTAACAGGGCGTGGTGGTGGGCACCTGTAGCCCCAGCTACTTGGAAGGCTGAGGCAGGAGAATCGCTTGAACCTGGGAGGTGGAGGTTGCAGTGAGCCGAGATTGCGCCACTGCCCTCCAGCCTGGGTGACACAGCAAGACTCTGTCTCAAAAAAAAAAAAAGAAGAAGAAGAAGAAGAAGAAGTAAGAAGTTATGGGATTGTGCTTGCAAGCAGCACAGTTTATTGTGTAGCATCAGAGTTTTCATCATTCCAAGTATTAGTGATAAAAATAATTCTGAAGGATAAATGGCATATTTTCCATTGTTGATTTCAACACAGTTAGACTCAGCAGTGCACCATTTCTGATAATCATCTATCATTTTACTCAGCATATGCAAAAAATGATCTTAGCATCACATGGCAATTAGATGCTTTTTTTTCTGGCACCTGGTGTGCTTGTTCATGAAGTGCACTGAGATTCCGGAAATATAATTTCAAAAGCCTAGAAATAATGGCCCATGTCATTTTCTTGGCATTCTTCAAAACCAAAGCCTTAAGAGTCCATGGTTTGTCCTTTTAAACCCCAGCAACGGAAAGAAAGGGCCTTGGCAGTGACAAAGAAAGAGAAATTCTCTTGGGGGTCTGTAGTGAAAAGGGATGTAATCAGTACCAGGCAAGCCACTTTGATTTTTTTTTTAAAAAATGAACAAATATAAACCATTACTCAAAATTTCTTTCCAGTCTTTTTGGTGCTTCAGAATATAAATGTGGCTCATTTTTCTCTAATAAGTTTCCATTTATTATCATAGTCATCTCTTCAGTGCTCAATCAAAGTGGCAAGGTTGTATTTGTGGAGAAAACAGAATATTTTGTAACATGGCTATCCTGAATTTTAGAGGCACTTACTAGGGATGGAAAAACTGGTCTGAAGTTCTTAGGCATACTCTTACCACCTAAAAGTGTTCAGCGATAAAAATAATTGCTTTGTTTTTACCTTTGAGGAACTCCAAGTATCAGGTTAAAAATTGAGAGAGGTAGTGAAAGAGAGTCAGTGATTCCAGTGTTTCAGAAAGTCTGACCTGGCCAGGGTCCAGCTGGGCTGCAAGAACCTCCTTTCTCTCCCTGTCTCTGCAGCTCCATCACTCACCATTCTCTCCAAGTCCCTTGGGAATACATGGGGAGAACCTAGTGGCCATAGCAGATACTGCTGGTCCCCCTCTTCCCCCACTCCTTGCCACCTCATCATTTGCTTGCACAAAACCTTATGGTTCTCAAGGCCCAGCACCTGTGACTCTGCCCGAGGGTTTCCTCTGGCTGTGGGAGCCCCCTGCACCCACACAGGGGGCAGGCCACTTGGGAGCAGGCCCAGGTAAGACTGGCAGGAGTTGGTGGATAAACACCCCAGCTCTCTTGTCTCTAGGTGGGGATAATTCTGAGGCATGGTCTACTCTGTCTCCCATATTTCCCTGGCAGGATTGAGCCCCAGTTGTCTGTGTCCATAACCTGCTTGAGAACACAGACTCTGGTATCTTCCTTCCTTCCCTTCTCCCTTCCTCACTGTCTTATGGCTGTTACCTAGAGTCACCTCCCAGTTAACCTACCAGCACCCTCATCCTTGTACAAGGATATGTCTGAGGGAACTTGGTATAAGATATTGGAAGTATATGCTCTTTTGTCCATCCATCCATCCATCCATCCATCCATCCATCCATCCATCCATCTCTCCATCCACCCATTCATCCATCCATCCATCTCTCCATCCATCCATCCATCCATCCATCCATCCATCCATCCATCTCTCCATCCATCCATCCATCCATCTCTCCATCTACCCATCCATCCATCCATCCATCCATCCATCCATCCATCCATCCACCCACCCAACCATCCAACAAGCATTTGGTAAGCTCATGCTGTATGCCAGGTATTGTGTTAGGCACCGAGGAGAGCAAGAGGACAGCCACCGCCCTCAGGGAGCTCTCAGTCCAGCAGGGCAGCCAGTCCCAGGATAGGACAGTGAGAAAGGACATGGAGGTTCAAGACAGAAAAATTCATAAAGCCATCCAGTATGGCTTTTGCTCTCCCGGTGTCTTCAGGTTGTTTAAAAATTAAAGGTGGCTTTCCAGCACCTATTATTATCAGAAATGGTCTTATTGGTTCACTTGCTTACTAGTCCATTGCCTGTCTCCCTTCCTAGAATGTAAGATCCATGGAAAGAGGTACTTGTCTAGCTTATTCCATCATTGCTTCCTCAACTCTTAGAACAGGGGCCAGGCTGGCGCATGATAAACATTTGGTAAGTGCATCTCATAGTCATTAAGGCGTCTGCTGTGGAAAGTTTGTCAGTTTCCTCCTGTTCCTCCCGGAGTAAGCTCATCCATGTTGAAATATACCCAAGCTCCACTCTGGATGCAGTGTTCCAGTGCACTGTGGAAGTCTCTGCTCAGGACAGGAGGGATAGCAAGTGTGCTGCCCACCCTAGGTCCGAGGTGGCCACTTCCTGCTAGCCACTGCTCCTTGGGAACAAAGGACACTTGCCCAAGTGTGTCCCTAAGGTGAGCGCTTTAGCATCAAGAATTATTCAACTGAAAGGAGTTGGCCGGACCCAGTGGCTCACGCCTGTAAATCTCAGCACTTTGGGAGGCCAAGGTGGGTGGATCACGAGGTCAGGAGTTCGAGACCAGCCTGGCCAACATGACAAAACCCCGTCCCTACTAAAAATACAAAAATTAGCCAGGCGTGGTGGTGCGCACCTGGAATCCGAGCGACTTGGGAGGCTGAGACAGGAGAATCACTTGAACCTGGGAGGTGGAGGTTGCAGTGAGCTGAGATTGCGTCACTGCACTCCAGCCTGGGCGACAGAGTGAGACTCTGTCTCAAAAAAAAAAAAAAAGAGTTTTCTTCTAAATAGCTTGCTGAGTTTCTCTATTTTCTTTGTACACTGAATTCTAAACTCTCAGTTGGGAGATTCTGCCAATGAAACACTCTTTGCAGTCTCCTACCTCTGCTACCTGGGCTTGCTTGATGCTGGGTGATGAACCACCCAGGTACCTACACAACACCCTGGTTGTCAGCAGTGGCAGTGGAAAGGAGAGTTTGAATTTGGAATGTAGACATTTTGTAAACAGGTTCAGAGAAGTAACTGCCCACCGTCCTCCCCACTGTGGTGTGCAAAGCTAAAGAGCTGACTCATGTGATCGTGGGGGTTGGCAAGTCCAAAATCGGCATGGCTGGAGATTCCAGCAGGAGTTGATGTTGCAGCCTGGAGTCCAGAGGCAGTCTTAAGGCCTTCAACTGATTGGATGAGGCCCACCCACATGAATGGAGGGTAATCTGCTTTTCTCAGAGTCTACTGACTTTAAGTGTTAATATCATCTAGTAAATACCTTCACAACAACATCTAGACTAGTATTTGACAAAACAACTGGACACCGTAGCCTAGCCAAGTTGACACATAAAATTCATCACCTCAAGAATCAGCACTAGGTTTAACATGAAAACAACTTGTATTTAGTGCAATTTATCAAGTGCATATTGAGACTGGCTGAGGTTCTTCCTGGAACTTACTTCTCTCTCTCACTTTCTCCCTCTCTTTTTTTTTTTTTTTTTTGTGAGTCTTGCTCTGTTGTCCAGGTTGGAGTGCAGTGGCATGACCTCAGCTCACTGCAACCTCCACCTCCTGGGTTCAAGTGATTCTCCTGCCTCAACCTCCCAAGTAGCTGGGATTACAGGCACGTGCCACCATGCCTGGCTAATTTTTGTAATTTTAGTAGAGATGGGATTCCGCCATGTTGCCCAGGCTGGTCTCAAACTGATGGCCTCAAGTGATCTGCCAGCCTTGGCCTCCCAAAGTGCTGGGATTACAGGCATGAGCCACCGCACCTGGCCCCTGGAACTTATTTGTTAGTATTCAGGCTACTGAGGTGTTGCACCTGCAGACTCTCAGGTGGCACTCACCCATTCTCTCTCTCTGCCGAGCTCCCGTGTTCCATCCTTTGTTCCTCAGTGTCCCCACCTGTTAACGTGTTGAATGTAATCCCCGTGTCTTTTGGATAAATCAGAGAATCCCATATCATTTGTTACTTAGGATCCTGAGCATTCAGTTTTAGCTTTCACACTAAAGATAGAGAAAATAAAAATAGATACCATTAATCTTTACACTTCTCCTGTGGTCCTGATTGCCAACCATAGTCTGAAAGATCTGCAGTGGATTTATTACTTTGCATGTTCTTTATTTCCTTTAAACCCGGGCGTGTGAGGAACGTTGATTTATGGAGCCTAGATCATGCTTGGCTGGGGAATGGGAGGAGGGAAGCAAAGTGTTGTTCAAGCTGCAGTAAATTTAAACATCACTAGTATTTCTTTACACATGCAAGGGGGAAAAGTCCTAACTTAAGTCCATTGCTACAGGAGCTCATAAATTAAAAATAACAAGACTATTTCCTATACACCTGGAGCTTCAAAATTACATGCCGTTAATTCTTTGATTGCCCCCTTCACAAAAGAGCCATTGAGGGTGACAACTCAAACAAGATCTCCACCACAGCCGTGAAATCCAATCAGTGATTCACCTTGTGTCTTTGACCTTGTTCAAGATAAGGAAGTGACTTGTCTGAAACATAGACTCTAAGAATTTAGTCCCATTATTTTTTTCCTCAAACTTTTCCCTCTCATTACTCTCTTCTCTCTCTCTCCTCTCTCGTTTTATTTTTTCTAATTTTACATAAATTTTAAAACAAATCTAACAGCATCAGAAGACCAAAACACAGGAAAGTCTTCTTGACTTTCCACTATGTTCTGAGCCATAAATCCTTTCGTGTGCTCAAATAATACACCCCAGCTGGTCTGTTGGATGAATTTGGTTAGCCTCTTAAATGTTTTAGCACCTGTACACCACAGAGCTCCCAAAAGCGAGGAAATTATGTTTCCTCCTGTCCCCAACGGATTGCTTTTCACCTGGGCCATATAGCTGCTGTGTGCCACTTTACAGAGGTTAAGACTGAGCAGTCCTGGAGGACACAGAAAGCTCTAAAGAAGTACAGACACAACTTCAAGTCCTCATATATTTTACTTCTTCATCTTGTTCTTTGAGAACTACGTTTACTTTCTTTGAGAAAATGCATAAAGGAGAAAGAGAGGATATACTTTATTTTGATTTTTAGAGAACCTTGAAAGTGTCATGCCAGAAGCGGTGGAATTGAGTTTTCACTCTTATACCACCCAGACCTTTCACTCTAGGTATATACCAAAGAAAAATGAAACGAAGGCGTTTGTTCACGTCGAGACTTGCCCGTGAATGTTCATGGCAGTGTTATTCATCAAAGCCCCCAAAATGTAAACTACCCAAATATCCACCAACTGATAAATGAATAGACAAAAAAAACATGGATGTCCATTCAGTGAGATACTCTTCAGAATCCTCAAACGATTGCTACACGCAACATGACTGAATCTCAAATAATGATGGTAAGCGACGGAAACCAGATCCCACCTCTACAGATGGAAGGCTACATATGCTGTGATTTCCTTCAGTGCAGGATAGACAATAGAAACTAATAGAGTGACAGGAAGCATATCAGTGGTTGATGGGAAGTGAGGGTGGGAGGGAGGAACCGATTACAAAGGGCTGTGAGGAAATGTTTGGGGGTAATGGATTTGCTTATGATCTTGACTGTGATGATTTCACAGGTGGATACATATGACAAAACTCATCAAAGTGTGCAGTTTATTATATATCAGTTACATTTCACTAAAGCCAATAAATGATGGCCAGGCATGGTGGCTCACACCTGTAATCCCAGAACTTTGGCAGGCCGAGGTGGGAGGATCACTTGGGTCCAGGAGTTTGAGACCAGCCTGGGTGACATGGCAAGACCCTGTCTCTACAAAAAATAAAAAATTAGCCAGACTTAGTGGCATGTGCCTGTAGTCCTAGCTGCTCTGGAGGCTGAGGTGGGAGGATTGATTGAGCCCAGGAGGTTAAGGCTACAGTGAGCCATGATTGTACCACTGTACTCGAGCCTGGGCAAAGGAACAAGACCCTGTCTCAAAAAAAAAAAAAAAAAGAAAAAAGAAAGGTAATAAATGAATTTTGTTGGGATTAGAGAAAATGTTTTGAGATGGGGCGAGAATTGTCTTAAAAAGTAAATAGAGTTGCAATAAGTGGTCGTTTTCCTCTGGAAGGAAAAGTGTTAATAATAGGAACCCCTATGAAATGTATTGGATTGGCCTCATTAACTATTTTTTCCCCCAAGGGCTCAAGATAAGAAAGTACCACGGGAAATCTCCAAATTGGTACACAAATCTAAATTATTTTAGGTAATAAAAAATCATCAAAGTAGAATAAACGGGAAGAAATGAGCAGAGGAGCTTTAATGAGAGCAAGGAGAAACATTTTGGGTAAAATAATTCAAATTATTCTTATGAGATGATAGACTTGGAGAAACTGTTTATAATTGAGGAAGGGGATGTAAGGACTTTGTTGCCAGAAGATTCAGCCTAAGATCACCAGGAGTAACTAAATGTGTTGGACATCATCGGAAAGAATATTGAAAATATTGAAACAAAGTGAAAGGTACCACCTTACCCTTGGGCAAAGTGAACACTTCTTTCAACCTAGAAGTTCCTATAAAGTTCTGACAGGCCAGGTGCGGTGGCTCACGCCTGTAATCCCAGCACTTGGGGAGGCCGAGGCGGGCAGATCACGAGGTGAGGAGATCGAGACCATCCTGGCTAACACGGTGAAACCCCGTCTCTACTAAAAATACAAAAAATTAGCCGGGCGTGGTGGCGGGAGCCTGTAGTCCCAGCTACTCGGGAGGCTGAGGCAGGAGAATGGCGTGAACCTGGGAGGCGGAGCTCGCAGTGAGCCGAGATCGTGCCACTGCACACCAGCCTGGGCGACAGAGCCAGACTCTGCCTAAAAAAAAAAAAAAACTAAAAGGTTCTCACAAGTTCAACTTATAAAAGGGAAGCAAAGCCTGGTGAGCGGGTAGAGACTCCCATTTGAGAACGGGCATTTGGAAGAACTCCCTAGTCCGGATGACAAGAGCTAGGGTGCAATCTGAGTAGCTCATTTGGCACGTGGATAGATTATTCATTAAGTTTTGGAACTATCTCTTAAGACGGGGAAGAAGCAGCCTTAGGGAACAACAAAACAAGCTGTATTCCACATCCTAAGACACAGTACCGACTGAGAATATAAATCTGCAGGTCCAGATTAATCCACAGATGGCAGGCTGCTTGCAAGCTATTAGACAAAGCCAGGGGTGTTCGGGAGCAGATCCCCAACTTCTGACTCCATAGAGGGTCACAGCCTGCCTCTCTTGCACAGAAAGAGATGGAATTCTCAGCTAAGTGCCACAGGACTTCTGTCCAATACACTAGCCCTTCTAGTCTGTTTCTGAAATAGTCTTTTCTACATCATTTTTTAAAGCGGTCCGTTATTCCGAGCACTTTTATCATGTAACACATCAGCTGCCATAAAAGCTTGAAGGTGGCTGAAAGTGGGCGAGGATCTAGAAGCCCCTTGGGCAAGTCCAGATTGGAAACACGTCATGGGACCTCCTTTTAGGGACAGTCTCACAGGCAGGCTGCCGTAGGATGACCTCAGGTGTCCCATGTTTTGGGTGGGAATGTCAACAGAGCAGATGCGAGAGGCATTTCACCCAAGCACCTGGATTGTTTCATGCCTGAAAGGAGGCAAGACAGGAAGGTATAAAATCCAGATCGGTGCAGTTGCTCAGAAAAGGGACAGGTGACGGCCTGGCGTTCTCTCCTTGGCTTCCTGTGGAATTTCAAAGTTACTGCTTTGGGATTGTGAACTCCAGCCATCTGCGTGCTTGGAACCTGGAGAGCAATCCAGCTGGTGTCTACCACCGTAATTAAGAGGGGTGTGGAGCATGTAGGTGTTATACACCCCTGCCAATCACCAGGAAGGAGCTGAGTGTGGAATTCACATTTGAAAGTGAAGATGCAGGAAGCCTGATAGCTCCCAAAAGAAACGGCCACCAGATTTTGTTTAAAACAAACAAACAACAACAACAAAACACACAAAAACAACGGAAGGGTACACTTTAGAAAAACTATTGACTTTTTCCCAAGATATCTGTACCTCAGCCACAACTACAAAAAAGAGTCTCTTCCTCTGTTGCTGGCATCTAGTCTGCTGTAATTGTAGAATTTTCTGATGCTCCATGGCCATCGTTGCTTCTTTGTCCTCCCCACTATTTCATCCGCCGGCTCCTGGGAGGGGAGGGTTCCAGTTCACTCGGCTAACGTGTGTGAGTCCGACAGTAACGAGCAACGCAGACCCCGGGAAGAGGAACAAGAATAGGACATTCCTATATTTTTATGTGGAGATTGATAATCAAGGCTAACAATCCTGGCAGAAGGTGAACAACACATTAAACAGAGGGGAAAAGATAATAAAATATCTCCTGATGCTTAACAATCGTTGGGTGGAAACATTCCCTGGAATTATACAGCTGTTGCATTTGATGGCTCATAAAGCCTCAGTAAAGTCCGTCAAGGGCCTTTTTTCTTGGCGAGGGACCATTCTTCTCATGCGGTTATGATAGCATCTGCTTCCTGTCCCTGGAAGTGCACAGAATCCACAGACACTGGCAGACGGAAGCAGGGGAGGAGCCCTACTGCAGAGGCATCTGGCCCTTTGATGGCTTTTGGGTAACTTCTGATCTACAGGGCATCGTATCAAAATGCAGACTGAGATTTAGTGGGTAGCCAGTGAGCACTTGCTAGGTGCCAGGCACTGGCTTAGGGTATTTCATTAATCCTGACAACTATGAGGTCAGTATTACCATTTTTAAAACAATACTATGGAAAACAGAGCCCTAGACTCCTTAAGAAACATACCCAGGGCATGCGGCTGACAAGTGGCAGGCTGAAGTCCCCACGCCTGGTAGCCTTTTTTCTGTTACTGCAAAGATGGAGGAAGAGGCGAGAGTTGCTTCCTGTCCGTGCTCTGGGTACGTGTGAAATCTTGTGCATCTTCTTATACCGGGTGTTCAGGCACATGTGTGTTGAGAAGGGATGCTGTTTTCCAGAAGACTCAAAAACAATGATGGGGGTCCTAGGTGACTTACTGTTTTAGGTCGGGGTCCCCAGAAGCAGATCTTGATGAAGTGAGGATTTCTCTGCAAGTGATTTATTAAGAATGTGGTCCTCAGGGAAACTGGGAAGGGAGTAAAGGAGGCAGGAAAGGGAAAGAGACAAGCCAAAGATGAGTCCTTTCTCAGGCAAAATCCGGTGGACAGCGGCTTTTAGCTTCAGCCTGACCATACTGGGGAACTCTGGGGGTTTGTCCTGATGGGAAGCAGCAGAGGTGAGCGGTCATCTCCCTCACTGTTCACCCTGCAGTCATCTCCCTCACTGTTCACCTAGAGCTGTCATCTCCCTCACTGTTCACCTAGAGCTGTCATCTCCCTCACTGTTCACCTACAGCGGTCATCTCCCTCACTGTTCACCTACAGCGGTCATCTCCCTCACTGTTCACCTACAGCGGTCATCTCCCTCACTGTTCACCTACAGCGGTCATCTCCCTCACTGTTCACCTACAGCGGTCATCTCCCTCACTGTTCACCTAGAGCGGTCATCTCCCTCACTGTTCACCTAGAGCGGTCATCTCCCTCACTGTTCACCTAGAGCGGTCATCTCCCTCACTGTTCACCTAGAGCGGTCATCTCCCTCACTGTTCACCTAGAGCGGTCATCTCCCTCACTGTTCACCTAGAGTGGTCATCTCCCTCACTGTTCACCTAGAGCGGTCATCTCCCTCACTGTTCACTTAGAGGAGAGGTCATCTCCCTCACTGTTCACCTAGAGCTGTCATCTCCCTCACTGTTCACTTAGAGGAGAGGTCATCTCCCTCACTGTTCACCTAGAGCTGTCATCTCCCTCACTGTTCACCTACAGCGGTCATCTCCCTCACTGTTCACTTAGAGGAGAGGTCATCTCCCTCACTGTTCACCCTGCGGTCATCTCCCTCACTGTTCACCTAAAGCGGTCATCTCCCTCACTGTTCACCTAGAGCTGTCATCTCCCTCACTGTTCACCCTGCGGTCATCTCTCTCACTGTTCACCTAGAGGAGAGGTCATCTCCCTCACTGTTCACCCTGCGGTCATCTCCCTCACTGTTCACCTAGAGCGGTCATCTCCCTCACTGTTCATCTAGAGGAGAGGTCATCTCCCTCACTGTTCATCCTGCGGTCATCTCCCTCACTGTTCACCTAGAGTGGTCATCTCCCTCACTGTTCACCCTGCGGTCATCTCCCTCACCGTTCACCTAGAGCGGTCATCTCCCTCACTGTTCACCTAGAGCGGTCATCTCTCTCACTGTTCACCTAGAGGAGAGGTCATCTCCCTCACTGTTCACCCTGCGGTCATCTCCCTCACTGTTCACCTAGAGCGGTCATCTCCCTCACTGTTCATCTAGAGGAGAGGTCATCTCCCTCACTGTTCACCCTGCGGTCATCTCCCTCACTGTTCACCCTGCGGTCATCTCCCTCACTGTTCACCCTGCGGTCATCTCCCTCACTGTTCACCCTGCGGTCATCTCCCTCACTGTTCACCCTGCGGTCATCTCCCTCACTGTTCACCCTGCGGTCATCTCCCTCACTGTTCACCTAGAGCGGTCATCTCCCTCACTGTTCACCTAGAGCGGTCATCTCCCTCACTGTTCACCTAGAGCGGTCATCTCCCTCACTGTTCATCTAGAGGAGAGGTCATCTCCCTCACTGTTCACCCTGCGGTCATCTCCCTCACTGTTCACCCTGCGGTCATCTCCCTCACTGTTCACCTAGAGCGGTCATCTCCCTTACTGTTCACCTAGAGCGGTCATCTCCCTCACTGTTCACCTAGAGTGGTCATCTCCCTCACTGTTCACCTAGAGGAGAGGTCATCTCCCTCACTGTTCACCTAGGATGGTTGCCGTGGGGAGGAGGCGGGTGGTGAATCCCAGGCCTTTTCAGCGGCCCTCCAGGCCTGCAGGTTCAAGCAGGCTCCAGTGGCCTGAGGGCAGGCCTTTGAGAAAGAGGCTGACTGTTAGAAGCAGAAGCCCTTGAAGGAGCACACAGAAGGGGTCTGGGCTAAGCAGCAGCGTGGCGACCTACACCCGCCCCTCCTCCGTACCTTGCAGGAGGCAGCGGGTGCTGAGGAAATGGGAAAAGAGCCGCAAGATTAACCAGATACCCGTGGTATTTTCAAGCAACACCATCTGCTGTATTTCCACAGAAAGGGTGTTGATTTTCCTGAATTCTAGAGGTGGTGTTTTCATCACTGAGTTCAGATGCCTTTGATTGATGAGCCACCTTCAAACCAAGTCAGCATGAAACAGAAGCTTGGGTTAGTTCACGTTGTTTGATATAATAGGACAAGGCAGACTAACGTCTCTTGAGAATGAAGGGAAGTTTTTCCTACATAAACTTCCACATTCTCTCACAAGGTGGGAAAATAAAAAGGGAAAATGACGTGAGGGGTTGCCCAAGACAGGGATCCTTCCCATCTGAAACCATGCTGTGACATGAAGTGCCACAGATTCCAAAATCCACGTGTGTCTTTCTTCGAAACCAATAGCCACGTGTAAAAAAAATTATATAGCGTATAAACCCATAGCAGCAACATTTTAAGTGGAAACAGATTTCTTCCATTTTAAAGAAATGTCAACTGTGTTAGGGAGTCTGGGGATCCCTCGCATACATCCCAGCTGAACATGAACCCCAAATTCCTGTGTAATGTATCGCAGAATCTGTCCTTTGCTCACTTCGTATCTGTCATCAATCAACACTGCAGACTCTGGAAGCAAGCATGTTATGGTTTTACTCTTGTGACTAAGCGGAGACAAGAAGGCATTTTTCTCCTCCTTGGGCTGTTTGGAAAGCATAGAATGAAATCCAGGGCATGGTCATCATGAATTATAGCGCAGCCAGGCTGGTCTAGAATCTCTCATCTTCCAGGCAACCCCAGCCTTGGCAGCACCATCAAAGGGTCATGGATAACAATTTTAAAATGCAGTGAATGAAAGTGTTCATATGATGCTAATGGAATCATAATTTTTAAAGTGTCCTCATCCTTTAGAGATATAGACTAAAATACTGGCAGATGAAATGCTATGATTATGGGACTTTTGTCACAGTAATACTACAGAGAGAAGTGCGTGCGTGCGCGTGTGTATGTGTGTGTATGCATGCATGTGCGCACGTGGGGGGGATACACATGGAATAAGATTGGTTATGGATTGGCAATTGTTGAAGCTGAGTGACAGACACATAGGCTATTCTATTTTTGTATATGTTTAAATTTTTCCATAATAATAGGTCAAATAGATCATAAGCATAGTGTATACTCACAGATCCCTCCAGAAGAATCTAAATGCCCAGCTACGCTGGTCACCGAGTATCCGCCTTGCTCTCCCAGGTGTCCATAAGCCCCTGCCACAGGGCTGGTGAGGAAGCCTGGCTCCCAGCTTGTGGCTACCTTTACACCCATCACTCTGCTCTCCTCCCAGAACTCCATTCCTCCAGTCACAGGGCCCCCAGCATAACAATTCCATTAGCATCCTTCCCTCCCTTATTTCTTGCAAAATTACTCTTATCATGAATTCCAGGGACTGTGTTCATTTGAGTGGCATCATCTATTACTATTTCATTTACCCCATCACATTTCTTTTTCTCACATAAAGATACAGTCATTTGTCACTTAATAACATACACGTTCTGAGAGAGGCATTGTTAGGTGATTCTGTCATTGTGCGAACATCATAGAGTGCACTTAACATAAGCCTAAATGGTGTAGCCTACTGCACACCTCAGCTATATGATGTAGCGTATTCATTCTAGGCTATAAACAGTATAGCATGTTACTGTACTGAGCGCTTTAGGCAGTTGTAAGACAGTGCTAAGTATTTGCATATCTGAACATATATGAACATAAAGAAGGTATAGCAAAGATACAGTGTTATCATCTTGGGGACTACAGTTGTGCATGTGGTCTGTCATTGACCAAAACGTTGTTCTGTGACGCATGGCCATATTAAGGTATACACTGGGTTTGGCTGCTTCTATACAAGGAGTTTGGATAAATTTCATATAGTGTCAGTCAAAAAAGTATAAGAAAATTAAGCCAAGTATAAGAAGCTGTGATTTGTCCCAGACATCATGACCTCAGAAACAGAGTGTCTGTGTAGGTGACTGCTCTACAATAGGCTCAGGAAGGCATCGTGTCTGAGGGCCCAGGCTACAGACTCCTAAGTGTGTTTTTAGCCCCCAAGGCCATCTCCTTTTGGTCATTATGGAAATTCTGGAGCTTAATT
This sequence comes from Homo sapiens, assembly GCF_000001405.40. Classification (NCBI taxonomy): domain Eukaryota; kingdom Metazoa; phylum Chordata; class Mammalia; order Primates; family Hominidae; genus Homo; species Homo sapiens. Next base: position 245,446,625 of record NC_000001.11, read on the forward strand.
AAAAGGAACCTAGAGTGCAACCTTTAGATTTAAGAGTAATAGAAAGAATAACTCCAAAACCTGTTTATTGTAGGGCAGTTAACTCTTATGTGAGCTCTTCATCTCATGATAGAAAAGGGTCCCTGGTGGAGGGGTCTGATACAATTATAATTCTGCTCTCCCCCAATCCCCAAAGCATCAAAATAGAACTCTGGCCCCTCTCATTATATAGAGAAGCAAATCGTTACTGTGATCACTAGGGAGTTCCCACCAGCATTGCTGTGGGTCCTGAAAGAGAAAAGGAGGTTCCATGATTTGGGAAGTAAGTTTCATTTTCTTTCATATTTGGAGAGATAGTTTCTGATTACAGCCAGTGGTCTCTTCTGTAAATATAGGTGGGCCATGGACTCTAGAGACTCTCAGGATATAATCTGAAGGATTGATTGCATATGAACCTGCCTACAGATGCAGCTCTTGGTTCTGTTTTGGCTTTGCCTCCTCCCCTCACTGTGTGGTGGGTGGAGCTGGCTCCTCTCAAGCTGGTGCCTTCCTGGTGTGCTTGCTGCTGCTGTGGTGCCCGTGGCCCATCTGAATTAACATCTTCTGCGGTGCTTTAGGGTGCTTTGCACAAAGTCACTTGAGACTGATGGTGCTAAGGACTCATGGGTAATGGTCTAGTCTTAATGTTCTAATTCAATCCAATCCAACTTTTTTGTTTTGCATATCTACAAAGTGCATAGGAATATGCTTCGTACTGGGAGGAGAACTCATAGTGCTTAATAAGGACTGCTATGGTCTGAATGTTGGTGTGCCCCTACAATTCCCATATGGGAAACTTGATCTTCAATGCTATAGTATTAAAAGATGGAGCCTTTAGGAGGGGATCAGGTCTCGAGGGCTCCATCCTCATGAATAGGATTAGTGCCCTTATCAAAGAGGCCAGCAGGAACTTGTCCCTCCCTTCGAGGTGGGAGGCGGGGCTGGACTCTGGAGCTGGGCTCAGACACCAGACCAAAATGAGGACTAGATAAAACAGGGAAGGGGCAAAAGCAGCTTTTCATAAGACATGCCCACCAGTGTGCCATGTCCGTTTACTATTGTCCCAACAACACTCAGGAGTTACCGCCCCTTTCCGTGGCAGTGACCCCACGACCCAGAAGTTCCTACCCTTGTCCTAGAAATTTCTGCATAAACTACCCCTTAATCTACATGTAATTAAAAGTAAATATAAATATGACTGCAAAACTGCCTTGAGCTGCCACTCTCAGCACACTGCCTATGGGGTAGCCCTGCTCTGCAGGACCAGTTATGGACCTGTAACACTACTGGAGCTGTGACACCGCCTCTTTAATAAAGCTGTTTTCTGCTACCCTACCACCAGCTCGCCCTTGAAGTTTTACTGGGTGAAGCCAAGAACTCTTGTGGGCTACGCCCCACTTTGGGGCTCACATGCCCTGCATCACCTTTTGCCATAGGAAGACACGTTGAAAGCACTATCCATTAGTAATGGCCCTTGCCAGACACCAAATCTGCTGGCACTTTGATCTTAGACTTCCCAGCCTCCAGCTGTGACCAATAAATTCCATTTTATTTGTATGTTTTTTTTGTTGTTGTTTTTTCTTGAGACAGGGTCTCACTCTGTTGCCCAGGCTGGAGTGCAGTGGCATGATCTTGGCTCACTGCAACCTCCGCCACTCAGGTGCAAGCGATTCTCCTGCCTCAGCCTCCCAAGTAGCTGGGACTACAGGTGCACACCACCACACCTGGCTGATTTTTTTATTTTTTTGGTAGAGATGGGGTTTCATCATGTTGGCCAGGCTGGTCTCAAACTCCTGACCTCAGGTGATCTGCCCACCTGGGCCTCCCAAAGTGCTGGGATTACAGGCATGAGCGACCATGCCCGGCTTGAATTCTGTTGTTTTTAACTTACCCAGTCCAAGGTATTTTGTTATAGCAGCAGGACTGGACTAAGATAAGGACTAATCTTAGTAGGAAGGAATTAACATGGACCTTGTGAGTTATGGCTGATGCTCAAAAGCCTGGAGGACGCCTTGCAGCTCTTTCCACATGGTGTGTTCTGGAAACACTGTCTTAACTCCTCTCAGTTTGGTCTGGAGTTTGATAGTCATGTAGATTTGGGATTGGCATCACAACCTATAGTCAAAGTGATGAATCCTCTTGCATAACACAACTACTTTGCATTTTAATAATTTTAATAACTTTGATAACTAAACATTTACTCAAAAATGTATTTCTTGAACATCTATGGAGTCCAGATATTGGGGTCTACTAGGCTTTGGCTGTCCTTGTGATTTTTAAAACCAGAAGCACCCAGAAACTATTAAATCCTTAAAGCAATACAAAATATTCACAGCCATAGCATGCTCAGTAGAGAACCTCTAATGCCTGAAACAAGGAGACTGTTTACTTTAGCACGTCAGTACTTGAGGATTTATTCTGTGTTGCGGCTTCTGGCCTGCGAGTTCAGAATAACATGATGTGGATTTGGAACCAAAATGAACACAGCAACAGACAGTCTATCACGATAATGGGAAGGAGCTGGAGTCTGCAGCTGCCATCGGCATCAAAGATCTAGCTTTTATTGAGCTCTCTATATCCCGACAGATCCTTGTCGTATGGAAGTGATTTGCGTAGGCTGAGAACAGTGGGGTGAAAAGAACCAGGGCATTTCTAAAAACCAGTGAGAGCAATTTACAAGCCTGAGCCAAGAAACAAGCTGGACACACCACAAAGGAAATGCATTTTCCCAGTAACTTTTTTTTTTTGGAGGAGGCTTTAGAGGGCTGGCCTGTGAATTGCATTTGTTTATGAATTGTCTAGTAATCACTTGCATTGTCGCTGGATCAGGAGGGGCTGTATTTTCTTCCCACACCTGATTTCCATGATTCAGTGCACCTCAAGAGCTCCATTTGTGTCACCTTCTCTGTGGCTGACGTGTGCGTTTCCACTTTGTACTGTTAATCAGTTAAGTGAATATGAGCTGGGAAGTGTGTTCACCAAACACCTGGCTAGCCCGAAGCTCTTTACATTTGACAAAACGGGAGACAGAAATTAGAATGGCTTTTCTATTTTAGTCTAGATTATGGAATTCTGTAATCAAGATTACTTTAAAACCATCATTTGAATGAGGAGGTAAAATAGCCTTGATACTTCACTGCTGGAGAGGAACAATAGACAAACTCAAAAGACAAAAACATGAATTTTAAATGACAGTTTGTCCCAAGGACATCGTCATACTGTGTGCTTTTTACAGTCTGCTTGTTATCTTATGCAATTATTGCCAATGTGTTTTGCTAATGGATTCATTGCAAGTGGACTTACCCTACGTGGAATGAGGAATGTCCATATGTGGTAGATGTGTTATTTATTGATGAGGAGAGGAAAGTGGATCAATGTGGTCTTTAGATGTGCGTGCTTTGCCTTGGGAAGCACCAGCATTGTCGTCTGAACTACAATTGGTGTGTATCTGGGTGGAATGTGGTACCCGTGGTGAGTTTGCTTGTTCTCTTTCCGTTGGCCCACTTGCAGCAACCAACTGTTGCCTGGACTCGGTATTTTGGGGGCCATTTTCTCTTACTTTTATCTGTTGGCCTTGTGGTTCCATCTGTAGGTTGCTCTCTCCGTCTAGCTTGGAAACAACATAATGATTCCTTCCGAATCACTGGATTCACAGGGTTGAGGGACTTGCCTGCCACTGACATTCGTTGACTGGGATTAGAATTTGAAAAGATTTTCGCTGTTGCCTCAGGTGTTCTGAAAGGTGGAATGAATCATTTCCACTCAGTTTTAATGCTAGAGGGAGAAAGGAGTCATGTTAATTAGATGGGAAAGATGATCTAATCCTTTCTCAAAGAGCCTTTCTATAAGGTTTAGGGTACTGTCCAGCCAGCCTGCGGCTGCGTGAGACTAATGATGGGTACTGGGCTGTTGTTCCATTTCTGCTACCATTCATTGTTGGTGCCTTTGGTAAATAATTCCATTTCATTGTGACTTCATCTTCTCATTGGGAAAATGAGACTGGTGATGTTGCGCCTCTTGGGTTAGGCGTATTCTGTGGTAGGATTTAGAGTCAAAAGTGTTTTTTATACTAAAAGACACTATGGCACATCTTCGTAGGACATTAGCTTTTCTTTGAAGATCTGGTGGTGGGGGGAAGGGGAACCATTTTTTGAACAGTAAAAAATAAAGAGATATAGTATGGAAAACAATGTGAAATGTGAATGAATTTTTAAGATAGATATTTTAAGATGAATTTTTAAGATATTTTAAGATGAATTTTAAGATGAATTTTTAAGATAGATATGCTGCTAAGTAATTTCTTGCTAGATTTCAACTGCTTTGGGGTGTGTCTTCCTATGGAAATGAATTCCTCGTGCCCACGGCCATTACATTTCCTACAACGGAAACTTTGACTTTTGTTTTTTTTTGAAGAGACATTTTGACTTATTTTTTATTCTACCGTTTTTCTATTTGCTACCTCATTTATTTCTACTTCTAGTTTGTTATTTTCTTCCTTCTGCTTTATGTTATTCTTTTTTGTAACTTTTAGAATTTGGAATTTAATGCTTTTTAAAATTTTTATCAATATAAGTATTTAGGCCATAAATGTCCCACTGTTCAGTACTTTAATTGTATTTTATGTATTCAGATAGATAGTGTTTTTATTAACATTTCGTTTTAGAAATTCTGCAATTTGGGTTTGTAGTTCTCCCTTTACCCAATAATTACTTAATATCAAATTTTTAAATTTCTGAGGGTAACAGCCTCTTTGTTTTATTACATTTATTTATTTCTGGTTGTCTTCTATTATGATCAGATAATATTGTTTTTATTTTTTAATTTATGAATTTATTGAGATTTGCTCTGAGTTAGTTAATGTATAGCCAATTTTTATGAATTTCACTTGAGAAGGTGTATTCTCCTTTGGGTACAAAGTATAATATGTATCCAGAAGATCTATCTTTTTTTTTTTTTTTTTTTTTTTTTTTTGGTTTTTGAGATGGAGTCTTGCTCTCTCACCCAGGCAAGTGCAGTGGCACAATCTCAGCTTACTGCAACCTCTGCCTCCTGGGTTCAAAAATTCTCCTGCCTCAGCCTCCCGAGTAGCTGGGATTACAGGCACCCGCCATCATGACCAGCTAATTTTTGTATTTTTTGTAGAGATGGGGTTTCACCATGTTGGCCAGCCTGGTCTTGAACTCCTGACCTCAGGTGATCCACCCACCTCGGCCTCCCAAAGTGCTGGGATTACAGGTATGAGCCACCATGCCTGGCTAAGATCTATCTTTTTAAAAAAATTATTTACTGTGGCAAAATACATTTAACCTAAGATATGCGATTCTAAGCATTTTTAGTTGTACAATTCAGTGGCATTAATTACATTCACATTGTTGTAGAACTATCACCATTACCTGTTTTCAAAACTTTTTCATCCCTCCAAACAATCTCTGTAACCATTAAGTAATAACTCCCCACTCTCCTCCCCTCAACCCCTGGTGGCCTCCAATCCACTTTTTGTTTCTGTGGATTTGCCTACTCATAAAAGTGGAATCATACAATATTTAACCTTTTGTGTCTGATTTATTTCACTTAGCATAATATTTTCAAGGTTTATCCATGTTGTAGTGTGCATCGGAATTTTATTCCTTTGTATGGCTGAATAACAGCATATCATTGTATGTATTATATATACCATACTTTTTTATTTATTTATCTGTTCATAGACACTTGGACTGTTTCCATCTTTGGCTATTATGTAAGTAATGCTGCTATGAACGATGGTGTTCAAATATCTCTTTGAGTCTCTGTGTTCAGTTCTTTTGGGTTTATAACTATGAGTGGAATTGCCGAGTCATACAACACTTGTATGTTTAGCTTTTTGAGGAACCGTCCAACTGTTTTCCACAGCGGCTGCCCATTTTACCCATCAGCAATATACCAGGGTTCCAGTTTCTTCACATTCTCGACAGTATTTATTTTCCTTTTTTTTAAAAAAAGAAAAAGTTATGGCCATTCTATTAGATATGAGGTGGTATGTCATGATTTTGATTTGCATTTCCCTAGTGACTAAGAGATGATGTTGATCATCTCTTCATGTGTTTACTGGTCATTTGAATATCTTCTTTGGAAAAAAAAGTCTATTCAAATCCTTCGTCCATTATCTTTATATTGTTGAGTTTTAGGAGTTCTTTATATATTCTGGATACAAACATTTATCATATATATGATTTGTAAATATTTTCTTCCATTCTATAGTTTGTCTTTACACTTTTTTGATAATGTCCTTTGGTGCACAAAAGCTTTTAATTTTAGTGAAGTCCAGTTTATCTTTTCTTCTGTTGCTTGTGCTTTTAGTGTCATATTTAATAATCTGTTGTCAAATCCTAAGTTGCAAAGATTTACCTGTATGTTTTCTCCTAAGGGTTTTATAGTTATAGCTCTCATATTTGGGTTCTTTACCTATTTTGAGTTAATTTTTTGTGTATGGTGTGAGGTAGGGGCCCAACTTCATTCCTTTGCATGTAGAAATCTGGTTGTCCCAGAACACTAGATCTGTTTTATTGATCATGTTATTTAGATCTTCTATAGCTTTATTTTTTTAAAAAATCTCCCTGAATTACCTTGGACTAAGAGTGGCAATTTCAAGCAGCATTATTAAGAGCCATACAGAAGCCTGAGGCAAAAGGAAAAATCAGTAATACTGCATCCTGTCTTTATATAAAATATAAAATTTTCACATTTTATTCATCACAATTTTTTGCATTTATTTTTATTTTTTAAAGTATTGCATTAAAAGATTATTGATTTTGGTTCCTGAGTTTTTGCCATCACCTTGAATTATGTGACCAAGAAGAGTGCCTTTTCACCTTACTATAGTCCCAGCCCTGGGGTAAAGGCTCCTAATTTGAGTGTGTTTCTGTCTATGTCTTCTTGCAGCTCATGTGGTTTTGCATTTTTGAAAGCGGTTGCCATGTATCTGGTATAAAAATATTCACAAGTGTTTTACTTCTGCTGTAAATTGTGACTTTTTCTATTACAGTGTTATTTGTCGTAATACTTTTTGGCATGGATTCTGCCTTGTCTGTTATCAGGATTACAAACGATAGGGGAAAAGATAAGACACTAACAAGTCTTCAGTTTACCAATGATGAAATCAGGGCCCAAGGACTCTGGCAACAGTTGAAAGAATTATGATCATTAAGTTAAAAATGTTTATTACTTCTAAATCCTGATATTAAAGTAACAGCCCAGCGTACTTCCATGTAGAAATGATGTCATTCTGAAATGGTATAAATAAAAATTATAGTCAATATTCTCATCATGTTCAAGCAGGGCATGGGCCACAAACCCACCTAAGGACCTGGGAAGGGCGGGTTTCAATAACCTTCAGGCTGAATGCCACTCATACAAATAAGAAGCGTGGAAGCTGAGGGAAGGCCAATCAGTTGAAGTAGGGTGATTCAGCCCACTCAATATTTGAAATATTGGTTTTAATGAGATCCTAGGGCTCCATTTTAGAGCTACTAGAAGTTTTATGAGTGAAGAAGGGAGCTGTTTTACTGCACTATACAGAGTCTCCTTATCTTTCCCTTTTGTCATTCTTGCCATAACCTTATAGCCTCTAACTTAATCAGCCTGGCTTCCTTCACGTAATACAGCAGCACTTAACATTGCCTTCTTACTTTTCTTCTAAGTAGTTCTAGTTTCTATGTCTGAGCATCCAGGGAGGTAAATGCAAAGAAGGATGGAAATAAAATATGGCTCAGCTGTGGCCTGAGCAGCCCCTTCCAAATGCACTCACGGCTTCTCTGCACATCTTGATATGTGAATGGGAAAGAAAAAAAAGCACATTTTGGTCCAGCAGGTTTTCTTCCCTTTGTCTCCCTCTGAGGTGCTCAGAGGCATCAGTAACAGAGCAGGAAGGCCCTGGCCAACAAACCTTAGCCTTTTCCTTTGATACCTTCCATTGGGAGCCTTCATACAATGCATTTGAAAGCACTTTGTCAGCAGACTCCTGCTTCAGGCAAACATTGAGAAAACTATTGAGGAGGCCTCAATGGAAAGGATCTGATCTGCCCCAGAAACTGCCCTAGTTCTCTGGCAGGAGAGCCACCAGCAGGAGAAGAGAAGTCCTCTCTCCTACCCCATTTTTTTTCTTTCTCCTTTTTCCTCTCCTTTCTATTGTAAGAATTGTGGGAACTCTCTTTAAATGAAAATAACTCTCAGGCTGAGCTTTGTCTCCCAATGTGGATAAATGCCCAGATATCTCATATCCCCTCTGTAAAGCTGGAGTCTCAGTTTTGGATGATCACAAACTATTTGGGACAAATGTTTGAGCTCAAGGAGAAACACATGGTAGGTGGTGTGTGCATAGCTTTTTCTAAAGCACCTAAAAATTGAATACTTGTTCATCAGCCTACTGCTTGCAAGCCCTTTGCTACCACTTGCTGGTCTGTTGTTTGCGCCTCTGCAGGCTGGCTCTGTGTCATGTTTGCATTGGTATCCGATCTCTCCCTGCACCACCCCTTGCTCGATTTTAATTGAATTTAATGATTTCTGAACCCCTAAGCGTCTATCACTTTTTAAAATCCATACTACAGGCCGGGCATGGTGGCTCACGCCCGTAATCCGAGCACTTTGGGAGGCTGAGGCGGGCAGATCACGAGGTCAAGAGATCGAGACCATCCTGGCCAACATGGTGAAACCCCATCTCTACTAAAAATACAAAAATTAGCTGGGGATGGTTACACGTGCCTATAGTCCCAGCTACTCGGGAGGCTGAGGCAGGAGAGTCGCTTGAACCCGGGAGGCGGAGGTTGCAGTGAGTCGAGATCACACCACTGCTCTCCAGCCTGGTGACAGAGTGAGATCTGTCTGAAAAAAACAAAACAAACAAACAAAAAACAACACACAAAAAAACATACTGCATTAGTTTCTACCTACAGTTTCAGTATAAGCAAATGCTTAAGGTGACGATGCCAAGAGAAATAAAAGCTCTCTTTAGCTGCCTTCTTCTCCCGTCATTGAGAAGAGCCTTATTAGATACAGATGGATGAATATTCAAGAAGCCAGAGAGTGTGAAGAAGTGAGAGAGGCTGACCCTTGCCCTGAGCAATGCTAGACTCTTGGTTGGGAAGTTCTGTTCTGCCAGCACCCCTGAGGCCAGAGAGGCCTTGCTGGTCTTCTCTGCGTCTCCCTCAGGACATGGCTGCCCAGTGGAGGACATTCAGCCACTCAGCACTGGGTATGATCTTCCCTTAACCTATTCCCGTCTATCAAAATGAAGAGCCACTTCTAGATCTAAATTTCTGTAATTATCTGATAATTTATGTTTTATTCTAATTACAAATCTGGCCCATTAAAAAAAATTGAGACTGTATCAGGGTATAAAGAAAAAAGACACCCATGATTCCAGGAGTCAGGGATAACCATTAGTGGCTTTTTAGTGTGTTACCTTCTCATCTTTTTTCATACATCTGTAGTTATTTTGCAGAATTAGATTCCTGTGTGTATGCAACATTTTCTTCACTAACCTTATCTCTTGAACATTTACCTGTGTCATTTAGTATAAACTGAAAAATAAATATCCGTGAAGACTCTAGATCATTACATTATGTGGATTATATTTTATTTAATGAATACCTTATCGTTGTATATTTAAGTGTTTTGCTGTGATAAATGATGCTGCCATGAATATGTTTGCACACAAATCTTTGTACACATCTGCGTTTATTTCCTTAGTATATAATTCTAGCAGTCAAGGTGTTTTGATATTTTTAAGGCACTTAATACACAATGCCAAATTCTACACCAGCACTATATGAATGCCCAGTTTCTGGAACCCACTCCAATACTGAATGCGATCTTTGCGTATTTGATAGTTTAAAATTATACCTCACTTTAAAAGTTGTTTCCTTTTCTTGCTCATTTGGTTGAATGTTTTCATGTGTCTATCAGCCATTTAAATTATCCTGCTAAATTTTTTTCTGTGGCTTTTAGTCTTCCTTCCATTAGGATATTTGGGTTTTTCTTAGTGATTTTTAAGAACTCTAGGATTCTATTATTTTAAAATATAAATTGAGTTACCAAAATAGTTTAAATTTTAACAAAACTGCTGTAGCTGGCCTCCTTTTATAAGGTAACCTTGTTATTGTTTGCCAGCTGTTGTGCCTGGCACAGAGCTATGCATACCCAAGGGGCTACATAAATGCTTTTTCATTTTTTATTTTTATTTTTATTTATTTGTTTACTTATTTATTGAGACAGAATCTCCCTCTGTTGCCCAGTCTGGAGTGCAGTGGCATGATCTTGGCTCACTGCAACCTTTGTCTCCTGGGTTCAAGCGATTCTCCTGCCTCAGCCTCCTGTGTAGCTGGGACCACAGCTGCATGCTACCATGCCCAGCTAATTTTTGTATTTTTAGTAGAGATGGGGTTTCACCACGTTGGCCAGGCTGGGCTCGAACTCCTGACGTCAGGTGATCTGCCCGCCTCGGCCTCCCAAAGTGCTGGGATTACAGGCATGAGCCACTGCACCCAGCCCATAAATGCTTTTTTAATGAGAGAATGACCTATTATCTAAACATAATTGATGTACAGTGTTGGTTAGCAGAGCTAGTAGGAGAATTTTTAGTCCATTAGGAGTTATAAGAAAAGCTTTTAGAATGAATTGTCCCAGAAAGGAGAGCTGGAAGAAAAAAACCCAAAACAATATTCCACATCCACATATATGACCTAATGTTAGCGGAACATCACAGAGGACAAATATCGCAAATCAGAACAAAAGGACAGCTCAGAGGTATTTTTCAAATTGAACAAAATTGTATGCATGCAAAATATAAATAGAATGATATTAGAAAGATTTTATCAAATCTTAATGTTTCGGCACTTTTTTCCTGCTGTTTTTAAAGAAATAAAACATGACAGAACAGTTGACACCTCTGCATTTCTCCTTTTATCTCATCCCCCTTTCATCTATAACACAGGTGGCTTTGATTTTGAATATGGTGCTTATCATCTGAGTGTGTGCTTTCATGCTTTGATGACATAAGTGTACAAATGGTATCATACTTTGTTTCCTATTGCAACATTTCTTTTCTCATTCAATATTATATATTTGAGATTGATCCATTTTAATAGTATTACATCATAGGAGATTTCACAACTTATTTATTCACTCTCTCATGTATGGTCATTCCAGTATTTTGCTCTTGCAAATGTTGCTACAACGAGCATTGTTGATCATGCTCCCTTTTGCACACAGATAAGTTTCTCTAGGGTGGAAATGGAATTGATTGCTAAGTCATAGGTATGGATCTCCTTCTTTTCTAGAAAGAGCCAAATCATTTTTCAAGTTTTTAAGGTATTATATAAATACCTGCATTTCCCCCAAGGACATTTTACGTAAATGATGCCAGTTAATATTTGTGAGTGCTTCCTATGGGCCAGGAACTGTCCTAAGGGTTTTATATGATTCCACACATTTGATCCTCAACTATTCATTTGACAAGTGAGGAAACTGAGATTCAGAGAACTTGAGGATCTTGGCCAAGGTCTTATAGCAAGTGCCGGAGCCCACTCAAACCCCTCGGCAGTGTCGTTCTCAAGCCCTCTCTCTTAACCCCAGGCTGTGCTCTAGGTGCTAGAAAGACACTACCCATGCCAGTTTATAGGGATATAAAGGCAGCGGCTATTTAGGCTGTAAGAAAACTCCAACAAACCGAAGCAGCCTTCCTAGAGCATTGCTGTTGTACAGATAGGAAGAAGAACCAGATGGTTGCTCAATGTGTCCAAGGTCCGCCCGTCAGTGACTGATCCAAGACTAAATTCCAGGCTCTAGACGCACATGGCAGCCAGGTTCTTTGCTCCCTGGCTCTCGCTGTCTCACTCTCCCTTGCTCCCTCCTTCCCTGTGTATTCCTGAAGGCATATAGCTACATCTTCATGTGCTTTTAATTTCTTTTAGCCTAGAGTAGACGCTCATAATAGAAAGGTCAAATAAAATTTTTTAGGAGTAGTAATGGATGTAATCTTGTACATGTACATGTTAATTGCAGCACTTTAATCCCCATTCTAAGTACCAAACTTTCCGGATTAATTTCCTGCATCTGTTGGTAACACGGGACTCAGTCTTCTGACCAGATTCTTTGCCCAAGGGCCCTCATTTACTAATGAGTAATCACTGCAATTTCAGAGAAAATGCTACTGGTACACTCATGTTTGAACATTCATCAAATATGACGTGAGCCCAGTTAGGAGAGATGTTAGCGTCCTTAGCCTACAAATAAGGGCATAGAATTAAATCTCCCCACGCTATAATTTTGTTGGGGTTATTACTTGCATCAATGTTTGGAACAGTTGGTGATAAAACGTTTCATGGTCTTACAGCTCAGTAGATAGGAGCATGTCATGAGTCAGGCTTACCAAAGGACTTACTGCAGACTTACTTCCCCTTGCCTCCTGTGATTCAAGCCAATTTTGCAAAGAGAAGACAGAGGTGGAAGAGGAAGTCCCTTCAGCAGGAATGCATTTCTCTTTGTGCACATATCACAGACACACAGCACTGACACACTAATTATAGCTTTAGGTTGAGCATTTCCAGTTTCTGCATTTTGTTTGCAAACAGCCCATTATTTCTATCCTGTGTGCTGGAAAAACACAAAATGAAGCAGTCTAATCACTACTGTTTCTGGTAGGTCCAGCTGTCTACCTGTCTCCCCTCTTTTGGTTTTATTTTTTTCAGGGTGGGCCTGTAACTCCTCTTCTATCCCCACCCGATTTTGTTTTTTGGAATCTTTCTAACCTGCCTGCAGACCAGGGGTTGCAGTTCCAGCTTTCCATGATCTTACCTGTGTTCAGCCTTATCTATTTTGTATTGAAAGAAACAGTCAACACAGTCAAATCCTTTATACCTTCCTTAAGACTGCACTGGTGTGGCCTACATAGCCACCTGTGTGCCAGCTGCTGTTTGTCACTAGGAAGACAGGGTGGGATGTGCGGGTGGTATGACCGAGGTGTGAAGAATCTCAGGGTTGGCTGTGTCAGTGAAGGAGTGAACGGGCACTTTGGGGTCACCTGAACTGGGAGAACTAAGTTCTCAAGCAGCAAAAACAGAGGCACAAAAGTGGATAAAAACCCAATAGTGCAGACCTGGAGCTAGGCTTCTTCTCTCAGTGGTGGCACAGAAAAGGATGAAAGTCTCTGAAATGTGCACCTGTGATTCAGGTTGCCACCCACTGAAAAATCATGATTCAAGATCTCTCCTCCTCATAAACCTTTTTTTTTTTTCCCTGCCTGCAGCCTAAGATAGAATTAGGAAGTCAAGAAAGGCTCTAGATGACTTTCAGAGTGTTTTTTGTTTGTTTGTTTTTTCTTTTTGAGACAGTCTCGCTCTATCATCTAGGCTGGAGTGCAGTGGCATGGTATCGTCTCACTACAACCTCTGTCTCCCAGGTTCAAGTGATTCTCCTGCCTCAGCCTCCTAGCAGCTGAGATTACAAGTGCCTGGCTAATTTTTGTATTTTTAATAGAGACAGGGTTTCACCATGTTGGTCGGGCTGTCTCAAACTCCTGACCTCAGGTGATCTGCCCACCTCGGCCTCCCAAAGTGCTGGGATTACAGGCGTGAGCCACCACGCCTGGCCCAGAGGTTTGTTTTTTTTGTTTTGTTTTTGTTTTTGTTTTTCCAGAATTAGCACATCTTCTCTTCTCTGGGTCATTTTTCTCTTAAATCAGAGATTGCAAAATGTGGTCCAAGGGTCAAATCCAGCCTGGAGTCCCCTGTTTTGGTAATGTTTCCTTGTAACACAGCCACCCCCATTTTTTACAGGCTGTCTGTGGCTGCTTTTGTGATACGATGCAGGAGTTGAGAAGTTGGACAGAGACCATATAGTTTAAAATATTTACCACCCTAGCCTTTGCAGAAAGTTCGCCCACCCCTTAGAGTACAGAAAAAGAAAGATTTCAGAGATGTCAGTTTGGGAAGGTCCTTGAAAAGTCACTTGGCAAAGAAAAGTTGTGAGAAGAAGGTTGATGTTTTGTCAAAGAAATGCAACGATGACAGATGCCAACCTGCCTTTTCTTCCAGCGGCAGAGGACCTCAGGCCGTGGTGTGCATGCCCGTGTATCGGTGTGGGTATGTGCACCTGCACACATGTGTGCTTACACGCAGCTCAAAACGGTGCCACCCTGTCCAGAGTTATTTTGGCCATCATGGTTCAAATCAACAGACTTTTCTGGAAAGCTTCTGCACACATGCCATGCTCAGAACAGGAGGTGCAAAGATGGGAAAGGATTCTGCCTGATATGCAAATAGTGACCGAAAACAAATAGTAAGGAGTGAGGCTGATGGAGAGCTAGGGGAAACAACTCACTGTCCCTGGGAGGGCTGCAGAGGACCCAGCACAGGCGTTCTGGGGTGTAATCTTCCTTCCATTCTCGTGAGAGAAGCTGAGTGGAAACCAAGAGCCTGGCTTTTCAGTGAGGACATGAAGCCTCTGATAGTTGCCTTCCCTCTGGAGGTGAAGCAGTCCTGGAAGAAAACATATTCTTACCTCAAATTCCAAAACAACATGTGGGGACTCTGTTGAGAAGCCTGGGTGACCTAGGGCTGACGTGGTAGAATCCAGACTGATTCTGCTTCTGCTTTCTCTTAAAGTCAGCTCAGTTTTCCCAATTTTTATCTTTTTTTTTTTCAGGGTCTCTCTCTGTCACCCCAGCAAGAGTGCAGGGCTCACTGCAGCCTTGACCTCCCAGGCCCAAGCAATGCCCCCACCTCAGCCTCCCAGGTAGCTAGGATTACGATTGCACCCCACCATGGTTTTCCCAATCTTATAACTAATTAGATCCGCTCATCACGTGTCCTGCAAGCATGCAGTGGCATGTCACAGTGCCCATCTGACAGCAGGGCAGGGTCGTTTGTTGAGAGAAACCCACTGAGGAGGAAATAAATTAATGTCCATCCTTTGCTCCCATCACCTCCAGCTGCACCATCCTTCACCAGGACCCATCAGAGCTTCCCCGGGGATGCTGCCCTGTGGTTCTCGGGGAAGCTGAGAGCTCTATGTTGCATCTTCCAGGGCACCTGTGGTCTCCGAAGTGTTGGCTGCAAGAATGGCTAAGCAGCGCACTCTCTTCAGACAAGAATAGTATTTTAATTGCCGACAGAATGCAGATATCGTTTCCACTATTGCCTCTGACACTTAATTTTAGGCCGGGCATGGTGACTCATGCCAGTAATCCCAGCCTTTAGAGAGGCTGAGCCTGGAGGACTGCCTGAGGCTAGAAGTTTGAGACCAGCCCTGGCAACATGGTGAGACCCTGTCTTTACCAAAAAAAGAAGAAGGAGAAGGAGAAATTAAAATTAGCCAGGCATGGTGGTGCATGCCTGTAGTCCCAGGTACTCAGGAGGCTGAGGCAGGAGGCCAGGAGTTTGAGGTTACAAGTGAGCTATGATTGTACCACTGCACTCCAGCCTTGGCAATGGAGAGAGACCCTGTCTCAGAAAAAGAAAAAAAATTAAAAAATGAAAAAAAGAAGAAGAAATGTAAGTTTAGGCATCTTGAAGGCAGGAGATTTTGACTGGTAATGGTGGAAGGATTTTGCAAAACTCCATGAGTTGACCTCATTCCTCAGAAATTCCATTGAGAATGGAGGGTGTTATGTGAAAATCCGAATCACAGGGGATGGCTTCGAGACATGTGGAAAGAATGCCGCCATTACATATGCACGCGTAGTGTTTGCCCCAGAGGAGGCTTTTGAAAAGTTCATCTACAATGTGCTAAAGTCGAGTTTTGCAGTGACTTCCTAGCGCATTTAGACTGGGCATAGTTTACATTACTGAGTATTTATCAGCCAGCAAATCAAAGCCAGAAATAGGTTACTCCTTTGTGGAGCAGGAGACAGTGACTGTCCTGGGAGGAAGTGACTGTCACAGCAATGGATTCCTTTAGTAGCATCTTCACTGTGTATTCACCGGGTACCCACCGTGTTAGCGATGACAGCCACCCTGTATCAGGTACTCCCAAGTGTCCGTTCCCCTGTTACTGAGCACTTTACAGGCACTCTTGTTTTGTGCTCACAGTAACCATTGAGGGAGATGAGGCACAGAATATGAAGTTAGTTGCCAAAAGTTGCCAGAGCTGGGATTTGGGCTCCAGGTGGACTGACTTTAGAGGCTGTGCCCTCCATCCTTGCCCTGAACAACCTCCTGTGAAGAAATCAGTGTGAATGAATGAATGAATGAATGAATGAATGAATGAATAAGACCTGAAGAGGCAGGCAGGCTCTGGGAGATGCAGAGACAACTTCTGCCCAGTTTGTGCTCAGGTTGTGGAGACAAGGCTTCCTACGAGATGCACACACAGAAATTTGGCAGAATGGGTAAGTGGATAGCACACAGTATGAGGTGGGTCCAATGACTGCTGAGATTCCCTCTGTCCTCCACCCACACTTTCTCAACGGTGTCCTTCTCAGAAGAGAACCTGCTTCTTCGACCGGCCTGGTAGGAACAGCACTCACCACCCATTTGTGTGCCAGTACAGGTAAGTAAGAGTGCTCCCGGCCGCCCTTCAGCCGTGGTGCTCAATCTGCTGCATGCATCACCTTAGCCAATCCTCACGTCAATCCCACTAGGTAGGGATTATCACTGCAGTTATATAGACAAGGGACCTGTGGCTCAGGGAGGTTAAGCTACTTGCCAGATCTCATGGCTAAGAAGTGGCAGAACCAGGATTCATGCAATGGTGTGGCCGTCCTTCAAATCCTGTGAACCTCCCATGGGAACCTCCCATGACATCTTGTGTCTCCCCTGGATATACATCCGTACCATGACGGGTTTTCTTTTTTCCTGGTGGGAAAGGGCAGCTGGGGGTGAGAATGCTCCAGAGAGTGGCAGAATGGAGCTATGGACATGAAAGTATTTGGATCGTTGGGAAGTGCAGAGGTCAGCTCCGCACACACTTCCTGGGACTTTGCAGTCAATGGTTACTGAAGTTACTTAATACCCACTTGTCCCACGACTGGTGAGTCCCGCCTATTGCCTGCTGTCCTGTGGTGCAGCTGCTGTTTGTCCATCTCCAGGGCCACCAAAGCCCGTCTGGATTGTGATTCAAGGTGTAAGAGGACATGGAAAAAGAACTGATTTGTGTTGTATGAGTTTAGTTTAACTTGATTACAGGAAACTGTTGGTGGGTGAATGTAGGATTTCATTGCGTATAAACATTTCAGAGACAAGTCCCTTTCAGCTACTTTCTACTTGGGAATACTTGTGAGGTTTTTCACCTAAGGCTTCCCCGTAATGATTTTGTCCTGATGATTCATTCCTTAATTAGTGGTATTTTATTGCCGCTTTGCCACAGAGCTTTCAAAACCATCACCTCCTCCTCCTCCTCTGGAAAACGTGCACAGACTTTGCCCACATTTAATCATGCCATCCCCACCCTTTCTAGTCTTTCTTCAAACTTCTACCAGTTCCTGTGTTTCTGAGAGGAGCCCAAGTCAAACACTATGAGATAAACATCAAGAGCTTAAAATGAATGCATGTTCAAAAAATATGCTGGTCTCTGATTCCAAACATGGCTACTGCTAACCCATTGAAGACCCATCAAAGACCTGACTATTCTGAATTGTTTTAATAGCAGTGAGGGGTGAGTCGATGTCTCAGGAGAGGATGGCCCAGACCTAGGTAATGTGTGTCCCGTCCCCCGACCCAGTGAGCACGTGTGTGCATCTGTGGGTGTGTGCGTGTGTGGGTGTGTGTAGGTGTGTGTGTGTGGGTGTGTGCGTATGTGGGGGTGTGTGTGGGTGTGTGCATGTCTGGGTGTGTGGGTGTGTATGTGTGCGTGCGCGTGTGGGGGTGTGTGCCCGTGGGTGTGTGTGGGCGTGTGCATGTGTGGATGTGTGGCACCATGTGTGTGGGTGTGCGTGGGTGTGTTCCTGTGTGGGTGTGTGGGTGTGTGTGCACGTGTGTGGGTGTGTGCTGTGCGTGTGGGTGTGTGGGTGTGTGCATGTTTGGCACCGTGTGTGTGGGTGTGCGTGTGTGTGTGTGGGTGTGTGCATGTGTGAGTATGTGCATGTGTGTGCAAGCGTCTGGCACACGGTGTTTTTGACTGGACTGAGGTTGTGGTACCAGAGTCCAGAAGACAGACAGTTGAAGTTGTGTCGTGGAGGGACACTGACATGAAATCTGGCAAGTCATGTCCAAACCAGGTCACTAATCAATTGTGAGCAGAGAGCAGTGAGCAGAGGGCAGCAGCTATGTGCAGAGCCAGAGGCCGGGGTTCGAATGCACAGGAGCCACGTGGACACTGCTGCAGGCTGCCCGGGCACCCAGCCGCAGATTACCTGTGTTACCTCATGCCTTTTTTTTTTTTTTTGAGACTGAGTCTCACTCTGTCGCCCAGGCTGGAGTGCAGGGGCGCGATCTCGGCTCACTGCAAGCTCCGCCTCCCGGGTTCACGCCATTCTCCTGCCTCAGCCTCCCGAGCAGCTGGGACTACAGGCGCCCGCCACCACACCCGGCTAATTTTTTGTATTTTTAGTAGAGACGGGGTTTCCCCATGTTGGCCAGGATGGTCTCCATCTCCTGACCTCGTGATCCGCCCGCCTCGGCCTCCCAAAGTGCTGGGATCACAGGCGTGAGCCACCGCGCCCGGACCCATTGCCTCATTTCTTCCTCCAGCCGCCTGTGGGTGGGGACTGTTCCCGCTGCAGTCTCCTGGGTGAGAGATGAGGGAGCTGCTGGTGAGAGGCGGTTGCCCCATCACCTAAGCTCGTGACCAGGGGAGGGGGAAAAGCATCACTGCTCAGGCAGGAGCCCCCATGCCTCCTGCTTGGGGTTCACTTAAAGGCACGGCTTAGAGAGATTCTATCGACCAAAGGATGGAAAGAGCCACGGAGAAAGTATCTTTCCGGTTTTTGCTTTCCTCTGTGTTCCGTTTCCTTCCCATTTACACAGGTGCCTTTAGCACGTAGATATTCACAGCTCTCTAGAGTCACCAACTCCTCGAATATCCCTGGGGTCCTGGCAGAAAGCGGATGGCGCGCTGCGTCTAACGGAGAGTTTTTGGAAAGGACTGTTTACAAAAGCTGTCGCAGGTGCAGGCAAGCCGTGGTGCGCAGTGCTCCTGCCAGCCGCTGGGGAGGCCTGAGGGCAGGAGGGGAAGCCACGACCACCACCCCGAGAGGGAGGACCCGGGAGCATCAGCTGAGAGGCATCATGGGACAGGAGCCAGGAGGACAAGTGCCCTGTCCTCTCCCATCTCCTTCTGCGCTCTCCAAGGGCTGAGCCCATCCTGAAGCCAGAAGGAAGCCTGTCGAGGCAGCTTGCATCCGTCTGCCTCCTGGCGCAGAGCAGAGTAGAGAGATTGAAGAGTGGACCTGGACGGGCAAGTGTTCATAGAAGGCGCACAGTACGAGCATCTCATGAAAACAGTGGGCCCTGCTGCTCAGAAAAATGCCCAAACACACCAAATGTGGCATATGTTTTCAGGGGATCCATATACCCCTTTTAGCCAGTCTCTGGACCAGACTGTAGAGTAAGAGTCTGATTTAGATCGATGGGAATGTTTGTTTGTTTGTTTGTTTGTTTGTTTCCCTCCTGATAAAAAATCCTGGGGTTTGTGCTCTCCTTTAAGTCTGTAACAGCTGAGTGAACAAATGGCCTGCACGCCGGCTCCCAGGTCAGATGTCCAGCAAGCAGACGCTTCTTTTCTTGTTTCTCTGTCTCAAGGGAGCAAGTAAGTCCAGAAGAAGAAAGGATCTGGTGAAGGAGGCTGCAACCCGAAGTTATTTTAAGAGAGTGTTGAAAATGAGGGCTATCTAAAGCAGAATGTGTGGCTGGGATTTACAAGGTAAATCAAAGCAGCTGTAGGAAGGAAAGAAAAGATTTTCAATGACAAACGTTTTCCTTTTTACTTGTTCTTTTGAAAGAAAGGGGAATGTGTGGGCAGACAGTTGTGAGGATCTTGACTTAAATACTTGACTGCCTTTTCACATGCATGCTTTAAAAACTCTCTGGTTCCGGCTGGGCGTGGTGGCTCACGCCTGTAATCCCAGCACTTTAGGAGGCCAAAGCAGGTGGATCACTTCAGGTCAGGAGTTCGAGACCAGCCTGGCCAACATGGTGAAACCCTGTCTCCACTAAAAATACAAAAATTAGCAGGGCGTGGTGGTGAGTGCCTGTAATCCCAGCTACTTGGGAGGCTGCGGCACGAGAATTGCTTGAACCCAGGGGACAGAGGTTGCCGTGAGCTGAGATGGCGCCACCGCACTCCAGCCTGGGCAACAGACTCCATCTCAAAAAGAAAGACAAACCAACAAAAAGAAAAACACAAAAACTTTCTGGTTTCTTAAATGAATGACACTCACTTCGAGAAGAAGGCCCGTCTAACCTCAGCCTTATTTTTGCATTCAGCTAGATAATAAAGTCACTCAAGGTCTTGGGTCCAACCAGATGCTAAAAATGGCTGTTTTTGCTCAACACTATAAGATTGGAAGTCAGGGAGCTTTGGACTTTGGACATTTGGAACTGAGGATTCACCTAGAACATCAACGTTTTTGAACATTCCATAATAAAATAAATCCTGTTAACTCTTAGGCATTTATACCCCCAATGTGGTGGGATAAAAGGATGAGGAAAAAAGTGGCACCAAGATGATGCGAGCTCTTTATTCTGTGTTTCGGTCTCATCCCATTCAGATGCTTCTTCATGGAACATTTCCAGGCAGTGGTGCCTGATATTCTTCATTTCTTGAAAATTCTGGTTTTGTTGCCCTGAGAGTTTGAGATGAAAATCTGGTTCCTGGAGAAAAGGGTCTTCTTCTATCAGTGAAGCCCGTCAGTGTTTGGTTCTGGAGTGACTGCAAACAAAAAGAGCCCTCCAAGTCTCAGCTCTTCCCCTCTCTGCTGGTAGATGGAAATCTCTGGATCTGAATTCCTAATGGGCCCCACCAGTCTGATATTTTAATTAGTCTGGTTTAAACATGGTTGGAGGCCGGGCGCGGTGGCTCATGCCTGTAATCTCAGCACTTTGGGAGGCTGAGGTGGGCGGATCACTTGAGGTCAGGAGTTTGAGACCAGCCTGGCCAACATGGTGAAACCCCATCTCTACTAAAAATACAAAAATTAGTTGGCCATGGCGGTGTGTGCCTGTAATCCCAGCTACTAGGGAGGCTGAGGCAGGAGAATCACTTGAACCCAGGAGGTGGAGGTTGCAGTGAGCTGAGATCTTGCCACTGCATTCCAGCCTGGGCAACAGAGTCATAAAAAAAAAAAGTGGGGGTTGGGGGGTTGGCAGTGGCCTTCACACACAGCAGTCTCTGCCTTTAATAATGGTTTAAATCATGTGTTAGATCTAGGCCCTTTGGTGAGAGCCAGGTTGAACACCCCTGAAGCATTTGCTCTTTGATCTATGGCCTCCTATTCCTTTGAACTTTCCCAGAAAGCAGGGTGGGGGTGGGGATGGGGAACACTAACCCAGAATTCTTTAAATTTCTTTCTAATGATTTGGAATGATCAGAAACTTTTAAACCAACTTCATTTCCACCTTCCAGCCATGCTTATCCATCGTAAGACTATTTTTATCTTCCATAAGAACCCATTCTCCAGTGACTCTTAGATGGAAAACACAACACTACAGAGTTACCATAAACCACTTTTCCTTAATTGCTGACATGGAACCAGACAGAGGGGGGTCATTGGTTTGGAGAAGGAGAGGGAGGGAGAATATCTACGCCCTCTCTGTCCCCTTCCCAGACACCTCATTGCCTCTGAGGATTCTCTTCCCTTCACTCTCATCACAAAAGAGGTAATTACCTTATTTCAGGCATCCTTTTTATAGAGCAGGCAGCAGCCTGTCACGGTAGTAGCATTTCACTCTTCCAAGAATGGAACCATTGCACAATGTCCCAGGAGTCATTTGTGATTTTTATGAGAACCTGAAGAGGTTAAAGAAAAGAACAGAAAAATAAGAAAGCCTTTGCTGAGAAGAAGGGAGCTGTTAGCCAAAAGAGGGAATTTGGGCTGAGAAATTATTGTCTGAAATACTTACATCTTAGAGAGAGAGAGAGAGAGAGAGAGGTGAGGGAGGGGCTTTGTTATTGAATTGAGTGACATTTCTCTTTATTATAAAGTTATAACGTCCGGCAGTAGAACTGCCAGTAAAACTCGATCTGGAGTGTTTTCTTTCCCCCTCGCTATGCTCTTTTAGCAGTTTGCATCTGGACTGTTAAATTAAGGGTTCTTGCATGGGAAATACTTCTTATTCCTTCAGCAAGTGAAACTACTTGCTAAAGTAATTATTTTTAAATGCAAATATATATACACACATACCTTGTGTGTATGTATTTTTAAATATTTACACACAATATATATTCATGTATATGTATGTATGTTGTATTTTTGTGGTTTTGTGTTTTAACATCAGCTGCGGTAGAAAGAGAAGGGTGGCTCTGCTAAGAGTCCCTCCTCAACTGGCCTCTGGCTGCAACGTAAATGACCTCCCTTGTTCCCTACCAGCATGGCTGGAGCAAAAACGCCAGAGTCTCACGTACAAACATTACCTGGAGTCTTCCTACTGCACTCCTGCACTGTGGCATCCAGAGAAACAGCGTCACTTGGGGAGAATGTCATGCACTCCTGCACTGTGGCATCCAGAGAAACAGCGTCACTCAGGGGAGAATGTCAGGCAGGGATGAGCTGCCTTGACTTGAAATGGTCTTGCCTCTCATCTCAATTAAAATCAAGCCATTAACTGGCTTTAATGTAGAGATTTTGTGGTTCAGTTTTCTTCAGTGGTATCCATTATAAAAAAAGATGGGGGTTATAGGTAGCAGAACTGATTGGCATAGTTGTCAGGCATATAGTATGTATTATTAATATTTAATATGTATTATTAATGTTCCCTACCTATAGTGAGAGCTATCCTGGCTTAATCAGTTATCCTTCACTCCAGGACGAAACCATGCTTTCTGTGGTTACCTGAATTCCAGGTGGGGCTAAGCACAGCTAAGAGTATCTGGTAGCCTCTTCAAGTGGCTTTTGTATCACCCAAACCTTTTAAAAACTGCCACACAAACTGATAAAAACGTATACTTCTGTCTATCCTTGATTGAATGTAATTGTCACTATTTATTTTAAAGAAATGGACAACTTAGAGCCCTATTGCAACACATCCCAAACCCAGCTCACTTAAACCATTAATCAAAACATTTTTCCTCCCTACCTGTGGTCTGTAAGGAGGATACAATCTAGTCTCTGATTGCACAATTAAACAGGTGCAGAAAGCAGTCTATGGATTCATGCCAAATGAGTGGTACTGGAAGGGAATTCTATGGGAGTTCAAAGAAACCGGAGGTCACAGTAGATCAGAGTTGGTTGGCGGGAGTCTCGGGGGAGAAATGGGGTTTGACGTAGGCCTTGAAAGAACCGATAGGATTCAGACAAACCTGAGTAATGGGAGGGTGTTCCGAGCCACACACACTGATTGTTCAGTTTGGTTTGCTCAGCTAGAGGACGTGTTGGGAAGATGGGTCTGATTGGAGGTGACGTTGACACCCAGACTTAGATTCTAAGGGCAGGGGGAGTTCCCTGAAGGATTTTAAGTGCCAGGGGCCTGGTAGTGCTCGTGTGTTAGGCAGAAGGGAGGCGAACTAGGCTGTCACAATCATCTAGATTGGAGTTACTGAGAATCTGGATCGGGTGGACATGAAAAGAAAGCAGTGGATTCAAGTTACAAAGGAAGAATTGGCAAGGGGTGGCAAAACAGTCACTGCTTGGAAAAACCATTTTTCTGAAGCATAATGCCACTTTGTTTTTGTTTTTGTTTTTGAGATGGAGTCTCACTCTGTCGCCCAGGCTGGAGTGCAGTGGTGCGATCTCGGCTCACTGCAAGCTCCGCCTCCCGGGTTCACGCCATTCTCCTGCCTCAGCCTCCCGAGTAGCTGGGACCACAGGCACCCGCCACCACGCCCGGCTAATTTTTTGTATTTTTAGTAGAGACAGGGTTTCACCGAGTTAGCCAGGATGGTCTCCATCTCCTGACCTTGTGATCTGCCCGCCTCGGCCTCCCAAAGTGCTGGGATTACAGGCGTGAGCCACCACGCCCGGCCACCACTTTGACCCCTGTCTTTGCTCTGTGTCTCCTGAAGGACAAGAAGGCCATCGTGCTAGGCTTCGGAATTCCCTGCCTATTCGTGCATAATTTGAAATCATCTCTATGTAGCTTTCAGATGCTCATTTCCTTCTGGACTCCCTAGTACAATTTCATCAATTTCATATTCTCTCTCTCTCTCCTCTCATAGGTATATAGTATATATTTTACTTGATGACTGACTCAAGAATTTTCAGATGGGTTCTGATCTTGTTTAGCTGGAAGCATTTTCTAGAGAGCCAAAGCCATTGTTATTTTGGCTTCTACATTTATTGTCGTATATTCAAGCAGAACAGTGTAAAAATGATTACCAAAGTTGAGCCTATTATTTAGATTTTGATAGTATGTGTGTGTGTGTGTGTATATATATATATATTTGAGAAGGAGTTTTGCCCTGTCACCTAGACTGGAGTACAGTGGCACCATCTCGGCTCACTGCAACCTCCACCTCCCAGGTTCGTGCAGTTCTCCTGCCTTGGCCTCCCGAGTAGCTGGGATTACAGGCATGCACCACCACGCCCAGCTAATTTTTATTGTATTTATAGTAGAGACGGGGTTTCATCATGTCGGCCAGGCTGGTCTTGAACTCCTGACCTCAGGTGATCCACCCACCTCGGCCTCCCAAAGTGCTGGGATTACAGGTGTGAGCTACCACACCTGGCCTGATAGTTATGTTTTTAACTCTAGATGACTAAAAGACACCTATAAAGATATAGAAGTTAAGACAAAAGTCACAATTATGTTGACAACTGCTGTTACAGTGTTTTCAATATATTTATCCAATAGAAAAGTTTTATTTTACTGCACAATAATATGTTCTATTAAATTAATAAAAACGTACTCATGAGTGACTTCTTGTCATACAGATCTCTATATCTCTTAGAGCTGTATGTCGGCGTTTTCTCTCTGGATATATAATATACATATTAATCAATTCATTCATTGAGCCTGTGCTTGGCATGATTCCAGGTGCTTCAGTATAATAGAGCAATAAAGACAAGCCCCCTGCTCTCTTAGATCTTACTTTTTTTTTTTTTTGAAATGGAATTTTGCTCTTGTCTCCCAGGCTGGAGTGCAATGGCACGATCTCGGCTCACTGCAACCTCCACCTCCCGGGTTCAAGTGATTCTCCTGCCTCAGCCTCCCGAGTAGCTGAGATTACAGGCGCCCGCCACCACACCCAGCTAGTTTTTGTATTTTTAGTAGAGATGGGGTTTCACCATGTTGGCCAGGCTGGTCTCAAGCTCCTGACCTCAGATGATCCGCCCACCTCGGCTTCTCAAAGTGCTGGGATTACAGGCGTGAGCCACTGCGCCCAGTCAGATCTTACATTCTGATAGAGGGATATAGACAATAAACAAGCCAGAAAATACCTGCCAGTCAAAAAGCTGTGATGGGAACCAGCCAGGCAAAGATCTAGAGGGAGAGCACCAGGCCTGTCTCCACTTATGTGAGACGTACAGAAACACACAGCGCCTTGCCCGTGGGAGGTTCTCACCACGTATTTATTGAGGAATAAATGAGTGAATGGATGTATTCATTGGCCTGCTTGTAAAACCTTCACCAGTGGACTCTTGGCTTTTAGAACTTTATTACAGGTTGAGTAATATCTGAAATATCCCTTATTCAGAACACTTGAAACCAGAGGTGTCTTGGATTTTGAATTTTGGGGGGTTTGGAAATATTTCTACTGTACTTATATTTATCAAGTGAGCACCCTAAAATGAAAATCTGAAGTCCTGAATGCTGCAGTGAGCATTCTCTTTGAGCATCATGCTGGTGCTTAAAAAGTTTTGGATTCTGGAGCATTTTGGGTTAGGGATCTTCAACCGGTATGCTAACAATAGTGATCTTATGTAGTATTTTCCCTCCAAAGAGATTTGAGAGAGAAATAAGTGGCTGCCGTGGTTGGCCGTCTTTCTCTGGCTCACTTCACCTTGTTGCCCTCGGATAACTCCAGTGAACTCCTTCTTACTTTTCAAGGCCATGGCTCTTCCAAGCAACCTCCCTGAGCCCCTTGGGCTGGGTCAGGAGGGTTCCCCAGGCCTGCATGGACCTACAATGTGCTACTGAAATGATCATTTATGTGTCTGTCTCTTTCTCTAAACAGTGGGCTCCCCCAGACTGGGCACAAAGTTATTTACCTAATGTAGCCAAGAGGTAGGTGTGCAAGAATTGTTTTCTGTTGAGATGAAAATCACCAAGCCTGGTCATTTGCTTTCTGTGTAGACAGCAGTGTGTTGTTCACTTAGGACTCTGCTCTCTGTCTCGTGCAACTTACCCTTTATTTAGGGAAAATGAACAATCTGTAAACAATAAGAGAACACTGGCAAATCAATACAGTCAAGACCTGTGGGAAAATGTAGAGGTGTCAAGAGTAAGAGAATAAGCTGAGGGAGCAGGTGTGGATCACCATGGTCTCCTTTGACTTGCTCAATAAAGACCCTCTGACCAAAGGTTAGCTGCAAACGCCTTTGTTTTGGAGGGCTAGTATGCAGTGGTTTCGTGATGTGTCTTTTATATGGTCTCATGGTTTTCAATTTCTTAATTGATGTTTCTGATTTACCTGAAAGCTTTAAATGTTCATGATCTTGGCTTGGTACACATTAGACATTAAGGTTTACAACCGATGCCTGTCATTGCCATTTGAATGTGTTGGTGACATTCCTGGTGTGGCAAGCTAGGCGAGTGTGCCCCCATCGACAAAAGAGGCTGAATTCTATATTCTGCACTATATGGACTGCCTTTCTCTTTCACTCACTTGCTTTTTAAATGACACAATTCATCCCATTCTTAATGGGGGTTGGGGGAGAAAGGAAGAAGGAAACGAAAGCAAGCAAAAGAACCACTCAGTGCCCGCAACTGTTATTATGATCTTGGTATATAGCTCTAAATACTTTCAAAAATATACTTGAAATACTTTCATAGGTTTTACAACAAATAGGATTATACAACCAATTTTATCACAGTGAATTTCCAAGTCAATAACTGCTTTTCAGACTATGTTCCAAGGAGGGGCCGGGGTTGCCCAGCTCAAGAGAACAGGAATCCCTGCAAAGGGCCAGGGGCCCGTCAGTGGCTCCTCCTCAGTGCAGCTCTGCTCTCTCGGTTTTTTTATTGATACATAATAGAGGTACATATTTTGGGGGTGCATGTGATAATTTAATACGTTCATATCATTGTAAAGATCCAATTGGTGTCATTGGGATACCCATTACCTTAAATATTTCCCCTTTCTTTATGCTAGAAACATTTGAGTTCTTCTGTTCTAGCTATTTTGAAATATACAATAGATTATTGTAAACTGTAGTCACCTACTGATCTGTCAAACAGTAGGTCCTTTTTTTTTTTTTTTTGAGATGGAGTCTCGCCCTGTCACCCAGTCTGGAGTGCAGTGGCATGATCTCAGCTCACTGCAACCTCTGCCTCCCGGGTTCAAGTCATTCTCCTGCCTCAGCCTCCCGAGTGGCTGGGACTACAGGTGCCCGCCACCACATCTGGCTAATTTTTTGTATTTTTAGTAGAGATGGGGTTTCACCACATTAGCCAAGATGGTCTTGATCTCCTGACCTCGTGATCCACCTGCCTCAGCCTCCCAAAGTGCTGGGATTACAGGCGTGAGCCACTGCTCCTGGCTTTTTTTTGTTGTTGTTTTTTTTTTTTTGGAGTCTCACTCTGTCGCCTGGGCTGGAGTGCAATGGTGCGATCTTGGCTCACTGCAACCTCCACCTCCCTGGTTCCAGTGATTCTCCTGCCTCAGCCTCCCGAGTAGCTGGAATTACAGGCATGCGCCATCATGCCTGGCTTATTTTTTGCATTTTTAGTAGAGATGGGGTTTCACCATGTTGGCCAGGCTGGTCTTGAACTCCTGACTTCAGGTGATCCGCCTGCCTTGGCCTCCCAAAGTGCTGGGATTACAGACGTGAGCCACCGCACGCAGCCTCAAACACTGGGTCTTATTTCTTCTAGCACACTGTATACTTGTACCCACTAAACAACTTCTCTTCGTCTCCCATCCCCGCTGCCCATCCCAGCCTCTGGTAACCACCCATCTACTCTCTGTCTTCACCAACTCCACTTGTTTAGTTCCCAAATATGAGTGAGAACGTGTGATATTTGTCTTTCTGTGCCTGGTTCATTTCACTTCCCATAATGACCTCTAGTTCCATGCATGTTGTACAGCTCTTCTCTCATTGGAATATATTTTGTAAAACAAACAAAAAAAAATTGGGGGTATGAAAGGTTTTCACTGCTCATATAAATGACAACTTGTAAACTACTGTGAATAGCAATATTTTCATTGAGTAGAGTGCTACCAATATGCCCATTCAGAATGAAAAACTCTGACAAACAGCTCTGTCCGTATATCCTTATCACTCACTGACAATCTTTTGATTGGCACTGGAGCACCCATCTGCTGGGTTTTGTGGAGACTGTGGCCATCTCTGCCTTTTAGACTGAGCTGCTCAGACAGTTGACCCAACACCGGCTGCCTCCTTGCCACTGAATCGGAATGAGGTCATACTTGTACATGCTTCTTGGAAGGTTTTCAGGCCTCAGCTCTACTGAGCGAAGACTTGGTTGAGTAACAAGTGAGGAGGAAACTGTAGGGTTCCATTGTTTACAATGGGGACAGCCTGCGGCACCACTAGACATTCTGAGGCGGGTCCTGGTTGGGGGTCAGAAGGTCATTGGATAGGCGGGAAAAAAAATCATTGCAAGGTTATGATTGCACCAGTGCATTCCAGCCTGGGCGACAGAGCCAGACTCCATCTCTTACAAATAAATCAGAGGAATGGGAGAAAATATTTACAAATCATGCATTTGATATTTCTCCAATCATATACCGGTGGCCAATAAGCACACGAAAAGATGCTTAACATCATTAGTCATTAGGAAAATGCAAATAAAAACCACAATGAGATGCCACTTCAAACCGTCTGGGATGACTATAATCAAAAAGACAGATCGTGCATTGGGGGCATTTTGAGCATTGGTGAGGATGTGGAGAAGCTGGAACAGTCTATACGTTGTTTGTGGGAATGTAAAACAGGGCAGCCGCTGTGGCACAGTCTGGCTGTTCCTCAAAAGCTTAAACACAGAGTTACCAAATGATCTAACAATTCCATTCTTAGGGATATACCCAAGAGAACTGAAAACATACATCCACACAAACATTAGTACACGAATGTTCATGGCAGCGTTAGTCAAAATAGCCAAAATGGAGGAAGTAACCCAAAGGTCTATCCCTGATGCATGAATAAACAATGTGGTGTATTTGCACAATGGAAAGTTATTCGCCACAAAAAGGAATAAAGTGCTGATGCATGCTGCCATGTGGATGGACCTTGTAAACGTTCTGGTAGCTGAAATAAGCCAGATACAAAAGGCCACATATAGTAAACTGCGTTTATATGAAATGTCCAAAATAGGCAAAACTATAGAGACAGAAAATACATTTGTGGTTGCCTAGAACTGGGGGTGTTGAGTGAGACGAGGAGTGAGTGTTAAAGGGTGTGAGTGAGGAAGATATTCCGTGTTCCATGATGATTACATCATTACATGCATAGTGATTGCACAACTCTGTGAATATATGAAAAATCACTTAGCTGTATACTTATGGTGAGCTTTATGTTATGTGAATTTTATCTCAATATTAATTTTAAAATCCAATGAAGGGCAAATTTATATTGTTTTTGGCTTTTAAGAAACTGTCTTAAAAGACACATTTATTTATTTATTTATTTATTTATTTATTTACTTACTTACTTACTTACTTACTT
This sequence comes from Homo sapiens, assembly GCF_000001405.40. NCBI lineage: Eukaryota > Metazoa > Chordata > Mammalia > Primates > Hominidae > Homo > Homo sapiens. Next base: position 245,476,554 of record NC_000001.11, read on the forward strand.
GAGACAGGGTCTTGCTCTGTCACCCAGGCTGAAGTGCAGTGGCGTGACCTTGGCTCACTGCAGCCTTGACCTCCCGGGCTCAAGTGATGCTCACACCTCAGCCTCCCGAGTAGTTGAGACCACAGACACATGCCATCATGCCCAGCGATTTTTTGTAGACATGGGGTTTCACCATGTTGCCCAGGCTGGTCTGAACTCTTGGGCTCAAGTGATCCGCCTGCCTTAGCCTCCCAAAGTGCTGGGATTACAGACGAGAGCCACCGCACCTGGCCACCCCTTTTATACTTTGTTAATGGAGAAGTAAATAAACAGCCAGGGTGTAAACAATACATGCACCCCCATAGTTCAAAGGGACAATGGAGCATATGTGTTGATGTGTCTGAGAAAAACAGAAAAAATGCTTGTCCCTGGAATGATGGAAAGAATTGTTACACCTTGAGAGGAGAGGTCAAGGGTGGAAGTCTGAAACAGGTGTGGGAGATGATATTTCTAAGAGTGAGCCAGTACGTTTCTGGCAAAATAAAGACTTTAGCAGGCTACTAGTTTGTAAAAATTAAACTGCAAAACTGGAGCTGGTTTCACCCTTATTTTTTAATTATGTGGGATTAGTCATTTGTGCTTGATGCTCCCTCTTAGCTCAGCCCCATTTCTCTTTTCTAAATAAAAAACACTTGGTTCTAAATCCTGGCTTAGAAAGCATATTTTTGAAGCTCAAGACAGAAAATTCATTTGTTTGTGCATTCAGCAAATACTTTTCAAGCATGCACTGTGTGCCGGGCACTGTCCCAGGCACCTGAGACACACTGGGGAACCAAGACGAAGATTCCTGCCTTCAGGCAGCTTAGATCCTGGTGGGGGTGGGGGATAGGAAGGGGCAGAGACAGATCATCCACCACAAACACAGTAGGTTAGTCAATCCTGTGGCAGATTGGAAGGTGATAAATGCTATGGAGAAAAAAGAACAAGGTAGCGCAGGTACGGAAGTGGAATGGTGCAGGTGGCATGAGTAGCCAGGGTCCATAACATGGTGAGATTTGGGCAGAGGCATAGAGGAAGTGGGGGAGCTGAACCAAGCAGGTGTCTGGATATCTCTGAGGGAAAAGCATTCCCAGCAGAGGGAACAGCAAGGTTAAAGGTTTGAAGGGAGAGCGGGCCTGTCATGTTCAAGGAACAGCAAGGAGTCCAGGTTGGCTGGAAAAGAGACCGAATGGTAGCAGAGCAAGTCGGGGAAGTCTCAGGAGGGTCAGAGTCTATAGGGCCTAGGAGGCCATTGTAAGTACTTGGCCTTTTTAACAATTTAAATGTAATTCATATACCATAATATTTGCCCCTTTGAGGCATATAATTTACTGGTTTTTAGTCTAGTCATCATACTGTGCAAGCAGAACATTTTCTTCACCCCAAAAATAAACTTTATACCATAAACACACACCCACACACGTCCCTCTTCCAGCCGCTGGCACCCACTCATCAACATTCTGGCTCTACGGACTTGCCTATTCTGGACATTTCATATTAATGGAATCATACAATACGTGAACTTCTGTGTCTGCTTTCTTTCACGTCACATAATGGTTTCAAAGTCCATCCATGTTGTAACAAACATTATTAGCACCTATTCCTTTCTGTGTCTGACTAGTATTCCATGGTATGGATAGACCAGTTTTTGGTGATGCATTCATCAGTGGATGGACATCTGGGTTTTCCCACGTTTGGCTGTTGTGAGTGATGCTGTGATGAACGTTCATATCCACGTTTCTGTGGGGGTGTGTTTTTCTTTCTTGGGTGTCTGCCGAGGAGTGGAAGGACTTGAGCATTGCTTTTCTCCTGTGTGAAATGGGAACCATCGCAGTGTTTTCACCAGGATCTGACTCGCATTTTTTTTTTTTTTTGAGACGGAGTCTTGCTCTGTCGCCCAGGCTGGAGTGCGGTGGCGCGATCTCGGCTCACTGCAAGCTCCGCCTCCCGGGTTCACGCCATTCTCCTGCCTCAGCCTCCCGAGTAGCTGGGACTACACCACGTCTGGCTAATTTTTTATATTTGTAGTACAGATGGGGTTTCACCGTGTTAGCCAGGATGGTCTCGATCTCCTGACTTGTGGTCCACCCGTATCGGCCTCCCAAAGTGCTGGGATGACAGGCGTGAGCCACCGCGCCCGGCCCTGACTTGCATTTTAAAAGGGTCGCTTTGGCTGCCTGTTGGGTATCGACTGTGGGTGAACAGTGAGTAGCAGGAAGGAAACCAGGCAGGATGTGATGGCAGCGACGTGGGTGAGAGTGGTGATGGATCAGACCAGGGTGGGAGCAGTGAAGGGGTTGACAGATTCTGGATGTATTTTGAAGATAGCCAATAAAATTCTTGATTACTGTGAGAGAAAGTAAGGTTGTGAGAATCAGCCCGAGGATTTTGGCATAACCTGTTGGAAAGATGGAGCTGCCATTAAATGAGATGGGGAGGGGTCCTGAGGGATCAGGAGCGCAGCTGAATGCACCGAGGTGGAGATGCCTACTAGACATCAAGAGGAGACGTCCAGCAGAGGGCTGGATGGATGAGTCTGGAATTCAGGAAGCAGCCTGGGCTGCAGATATAAATTTGGGAATCATTGGCATCTAGATGGCATTTAGAACCCTGTAACTGAGTAAGATCACTAAGGCTCCCATTTATTCAAAGGACAAAACAACATAAATGTTGACAGAGAGTAATAATCTTTTCTATTTATTGAGTTCCAACAGTGAGCTCCTGTTATCACTAAAAACAGACATCGCAGATAAGCTTCTCCAGAAATACATATTTCAACCTGGTTGAGCTATAGGCACCCAGGGTATATCTACAGAAGCCAGGTATTAATATCTTAGAGGCATATGCATCAATATCGTGTGAAGTCTTTTTTGTTAGCTCTTTTCTGATTATGCTTTCAGAGTTTTTTTGTTGTTGTTGTTATATTTTTGTTCTCCCATGTATACCTTGGTTTGTGATCAGTGTGTAAAGGAGGAGGAATGGTTGTTTGGTTGAGACATTTGCAAATAGTAAGCAGTCACCTTACCTAACTTGGCTAATTTGCATTGTTTCCATACAGAGAATGTAGTTTGACAGTCAAGGATGATAGAAAGTCAGAGGATGATAGAAAACAATCCTTTCTTCATACAGATTAAGAAGAAGAAATGAATAATCTAAAGAAAGAAATAACAACAAGAGACAGATGGGATGCTGACTGGTCCAGAAACCGTCAGGTAGCAACAGTTGCAAATCTGAGGGAGTTCAGCCTGGAGAAGACCAAGGGGAGAGAGTAGAAAGGATACTCAAATATTTGAAAGGACACAGGCTTCTTTTCTGTTGCTCTATATAGAACTAGGATTCGTGGATAAGGATTGCAAATAGACAAATTTCCACTTAAATAAGAAAAAACTTTCAAATAATTAAAGCTGCCCGGCCAGGTGCAGTGGCTCACACTTATAATCCCAACACTTTGGGAGGCTGAGGCAGGTGGATCGCTTGAGCCCAGGAGTTTAGGACCAGCCTGGGCAACATGGCGTGACCCTGTCTCTCCAAACAAACAAACAAACAACAAACAAAAAACTAGCCTAGTGTGGTAGCATGCACCTGTAGTCCGAGCTACTTGGGAGGCTGATGAGGGAGGATCACTTGAGCCTGGGAAGTCAGGGCTGCAGTGAGCCATGACCGTGCCACTGCACTCCAGCCTGAGCAACAAAGACCCTGTCTCGGGGGGGAGGAAAGAAAAAAAACTGCCGAACTACATGCAGGGTGGGATTGGGCATGGTACCTGGGCCAGCCTGTTGGCATAACATGTGGAAGCGGGTGACCCACAGTCAGGGGTCAGTCTGAGGGACTGCCATACTGGGCTAGGGCCTCTGAGTGCTCTGCCAGCTTAGGGGTTCCATGATTCTCAGCAGATTTCCAGCAGGTGTTTGAGGGTTTCTGCATTCAGTGACATAAACAGGCCCTCGTGCTTCTGTGGGTTATAGGCCAGCTTGGTACCGTATAACCAGTACATCAAGAGTTGAAGTGTTGCACTAATGCTTTCCAAGAGTCAGAGCTGGCAGAGTGACCGGGTATACAGGCAGAGTTTGTACTCTTTCCTTTTAGAAACACACTCTGCTGTCTGTACCTGAATTGTTCTCACTCTGTGGAGGACTTGGGATTCTTGATGTTATTTATCTTATGTGTTCCAAGTGCTAAGTAGTTTAATCCTAATACTTTTAAAATGTTAAAAAAAAAAAAAAAAGAGAGAGAGAAATGTTTAAAGTTTGGATAGAAACCCTTAGAATCATTAAATATTCTCAGTGAAAGGGACCACAGAGGTCATCTGGGCCCATTTCCTCATTTTATAGAAAAGGAGTCTGCAAGATCCAGACAGCAGTTCACCCAGATTAGTTGGTTGATTCAAACTTTCCCTTCCTATTTCTCTCTACAGTGTTTTATCTACAATTATATTATATTTAAGATTTGGCAACAATGACCATATGAGAAGTCCTTGTAATATGCCAGGCACTGTGCTGGCCGTGCGTTGTGCGTGCATTTTCCTATTTAAAATGCCACCTATAAGTGCCATCTTTGGAATATTTGTCCTTTAGAAAGAAGCATCTGCTTCAAACCAATGGCAGAGACAAAATGGCTTTTCTCTTATCTTTACTACTGTGTGGATTTCTCCATAAACAAGAACTGGCAAAGGGCCTCATAACAGCTCTGTGGCCCTCTCTGGGCTCAGAGAATGCCCGTAGCCACCAGCCCAGCTGGCAACAAATGGTTGCAGGTTCTGTTTCCATGTTTCAGTCAATCTGTCTAGAGAACAATGGAACTCCTGAACCATTCCCGTGCTCAAATGTAACGTAAAAAGGACAATATAAAATATCAGGCTTCTGTGTTTGAACTGCTCCCCTGGGGAAAGGAGCATGGTGGTTGGGAACTCAGCATTAAACAAGGAAACTCGATGTGTATCCAGCATCACTGAGTGCTCAGGTCTGCAGACTGCAGAGAGATGTAATGCTTATTCCTGTTCCCACATCTTTGATCTTTTTGCGTGAAGCTAATATTTGAGAATTCTTTATTTCCCTGGAGTGTCAAACCTCCTGTCAACTCGCCATAAAGACAAGGAAGAGATTTCCTTTTTCAACAAGTGAGGACAGATGTGGCCAAGCGTTGATTATTATTGTAAGAGATGAATACAAATGTTATCATTACTGAGTGCTAAGCTTTGTTTATTTCTTCAGAATTCCCCTAGTGCCTCTGGGCTGGGAATCTCACCCACAGACCTTGATCAATGTCCCCTGGCACTTTGAACAGTCCTTGGTTGGACCTGACAGCACGCTCCAGTCTTACCTTTCACTGGTAGCACAGCAGCGTCTAACCGATAGGGACTCTTCTTGGCTCTGTGTGTACTTTTACCATCCTAGATAATGAAGACCAGAGCCAAGGAAGAGAAAGATAACAAACGAGAGAGCATATTTGATTCTAGGAGATTTGACTGAAGATGGAGATGGTCAGGTAGGCAATTCAATGGGGAAAGACACTTATTTTTTATTTATTGACTTATTTTTTGATACAGAGTCTTGCTCTGTCACCCAGGCTGGAGTGCAGTGGCACGATCTCGGCTCCCTGCAACCTCTGCCTCCTGAGTTCAAGCCATTCTCCTGCCTCAGCCTTCCTAGTAGCTGGGACTGCAGGTGCGCACCACCATGCCTGGCTAATTTTTGCATTTTTAGTAGACGGGGTTTCACCATATTGTCCAAGGTGGTCTCGAACTCCTGACCTCGTGATCCTCCCGCCTCAGCCTCCCAAAGTGCTGGGATTACAGGCATGAGCCACCATGCCTGGTCAAGACACTGATTTTTAAGTAAGACCTTCCAATGAGTAATCCTTTATAATCAACATTAGAACTAGACGAGTATTCAGAAATGCATGTTGTTTTATATGATAACACAAAGGACTGAATACAAACATCATTAACCAAGCTCTTCTGAGAGCTTGGGGAAAAAGCTGCCCGAGGGTACCCTGCTTTGTGTGCATGTGATATGTTCCATCTGCCTGAAATGTTCCTTTGAAATAAGAAGCGAGGGCACAGCTGGGTAGGAGAGGGTTGGGAAGGGGCCCATGGAGGACTCACCTCACTGATGTGCTGTGGAGGTTCGATGAATACATTCCCCGCTTCCCTCCTACCCAGTGTGGCCTGATGATCACGACTAGTGTTCCTACCAGTGAATGGTTCACCCCGAGGCAAATGCGTTCCCTAAGGAAGATATGTGCTGTGAGTTTCCAGTTGTAAGAAGCCAGTGGAGACACCCAGGTAGTCTGTGTTGTTGAAGCCTCACGATCTGGGAGGGCGGTGTGATGAATCCCGGGCAGCCACACACAGTTTCCGGCAATACCACATTTCATCAATTCCGTGTTAGAACATTGAGTCCAAGCTGTTGGAAAAAGCTTCCCCTTCAGGTGTGAGGAGGCCCAGGCAGCAGATGCCAGGACTCACACTCCTGGGCATCATTTATTTTGGAAGTTGGGGAAGCAGGTGCCGGACAAAGCTCTGGGTCGTCTTCTTTTGCATCCCCTCCAGATCTCACAGGGTTTCATGGGTGCCCTGTGTTTGATGTTCAGTGTGGAATCCAAGAGCCTGGTGAGGAGAAGCTGTCTCAGAACCAGTCACAATAAAAATAATGATCCACAGTTAACATGCATAGAGCATTTGCTTTGTCTCAAGGCATGTGCTGGGTGCACCATTTTCATCCTCACGGGTTCTGCTAGTGTCCTCATGCATAGATGAGGAAAACAAAGCTTAGAGAGGTCAAAAGAGCTGTCCGAGGTCACCCAGCTGGGGTTGCAATCCAGGTCTGCCTGACCCCAGAGCTCCAGCTCTGAACCTCTGTGCTTCCTGACCTGGCTTCAGTGCCTGTGAGTGTCACAGTCTCACCACAGCTGGTGTTACCATAGCTACTTAACAGCTGGTGTTGGGGGAGCGGGGAAAGTGCAGAAATGAAGTTTGCGTTGTTAACAAGAAATTTTGCTAATTAATTTTGGGGGGACACATTGAGCAAGTCCGCCCAGGTGCATGTTCCCACGGTCCCATTCCAGTGGGCAGTTGAATGCACACGTATGCATGAAGGGCGTGGGTAGTGAACTTGTAACAGCAGAGGAAGCAGAAGGTTAAAAGGAGAAGCTAAATACACCTCAGTGCTGGAACGTTCATTTTGCAGATTTTTGTCAGGTTTGGCAGAGAAACCTCCAAGCTCTAATCTTACAGGGCGACTACTTGGGAATCAATCGGGAAGCATATTTCCTGTTACTTTAGTGTAGCGAAGGCTTCTCCTCGTTCTTTTCTACTCTTAGTAATGTATTAGTAAAATGTGTTTATGAAAATCTGAGTTTCCTCATTCCACCTTTATGTTTTTCCTTATGTCTTTATAAAATCTGTAAGTTAGTTTCCTCATTCCACATTTATGTTTTTCCTCATTCTAATGCCCTCTCTTGAATTGTTAGTTCTTTGCTTTAATGACGCTTTGTTAGGCCTGGGCTGATCCCACGCCATTTTTTTATTTCTTCTGGTTTGATTTCTGCTTACACCTCAAAGATGTTTACCTTCATATCTTCTCTTTCCCTTTACCTGTGACCTCTCTGCCTTGCCTCTCTTAATAAGTGTTAATAATGCTGGGTTACACTTTAACTCACTTTGGGCAGTATTCTAAATCTTAATCTCTTCAAAGGAAGTGCTAATGAAATGTCCCACCATTATGTATCTGTGTTCTCTTACAAATGCAGATGAAGAGCCATTCAATGGAGCCACATAACTGCCTTTCCCATCAAGCCTTGAACTGCAAGTAAAGGGGCCTGATTGTGAGGAGTCAGACTCACCATCTAGGTCGCCTGACAGAGGCCCCTCCTAACCCTGTCCCTGGACACTGTAACTTCTCTAAGACATTTGATGGTGACCAGGCACTCCACTCGTCCATGTAGTTTCTGGGATGGATTCCTCTCTGGAATATTAGACTGCCTCACAGATTAAACTGCTAAAGGAATTTTGCAGCAAAATGAAATAGATTTTGGAGCATTGTTTGGAGATTGGAGATTTGGACTTTGTTCCAAATTGCAGATTTGGAGATTGTTCCAACAATTTGGAGCTGCTTCTCCTCCTTCTTCTCCTTCTCCTTCTTCTTTCTTCTTTCCTCCTCCTCCTTCTCCTCTTCCTCTTCTTCTTCTTCTTCTTCATATTATTATTATTATTATTATTATTATTCTTTTAATTCTTCAAAGGAGAAGCTCCCAAGAGAGTCGATTTGTGTGAGAGGGCCTGTGACTGGGCCCCTGAGAGTTGCTTTTTTTTGAATTAACTGGGATAACAAAAGACAAGCAGGCATCTTGGTATTTTAAGTGTGTTTTCCCAATGGAAATAGAAATAAACACAACACTGACCAAGTATTCAACAGAGGGATGGCTAAACAAACTGTGGGGTATACATGGAATAGAATATTATTCAGCAATGAAAAAGGAATGTCATTCTGACACATGCTACAACATGGATGAACCTTGAAGACATTCTACTAAGAAGCCAGGCACAAAAAGGCCAATAATATATAAATCCACTTAAATAGGGGACCTAGAATAGGCAAATTCATGCAGACAGAAATAGTGATTACCAGGGGATGTGGGGAGGGAGAATGGGTAGTTAATATTTAATGGGTACAGAGCTTCAGTTTGGGATATGAAAAAGTTGTGGAACTTGATAGTGGTGATGGTTGCAAGACATTGTGAATGCACTTAATGCCACTGAATTATACACTTAAAGATGGTTAAAATGGTAAGTTTTATGCTATATTCCTAGCATCATTTTTTTTTTTTTTTTGAGACAAAGTTTCGCTCTGTCACCCAGGCTGGAGTGCAATGGCGTGATCTCGGCTCACTGCAACCTCCACCTCCCAGGCTCATGTGATTCTCCTGCCCCAGCCTCCCAAGTACCTGGGATTACAGGCGCCTGCCACCACTCCTGGCTAACTTTTGTATTTTTAGTAGAGACGGGGTTTCGCCATGTTGGCCAGGCTGGTCTCAGACTCCTGACCTCAAGTGATCTGCCCGCCTCGGCCTCCCAGAGTGCTGGGATTACAGGCGTGAGCCACCGTGCCTGGCCTTCAAAAGTTTTTAAATGCTGCATGTGAAGGTAACCTTAGGAGAAAACTCTTCTGCTTCTTATAAACTGGCGATGCTGTGTAGCCGTTTTCTGTGATCCCAGAGCCTGCAGGGCAAGGCTTTCAGAGGGCACACGGTGCCCTTTCACACGAGTGATGCTGACATTTTCTCCAGAGCTGTGATGAATAAATAAATGAAGGAAGGAGTTAAGATTCCTTACTACTTTGCATCTTGGTCAATAGTCAGTTTGTCTTCTGGTTAAATATGAGTATTTTTCGTGGTGGCAACCCCGTCCTCCAGCTGCTATTCTTACATATACTGGCATTTACTTAAGTGAGCCCTCTTTTCAAACAGGACCTGACCTTTCCTAAAGGAGCTTTAAAGAAATCCATATTTCCTGATTACAAATAGAAAACAGTGTGCTTTCTCAAGGGTTAATGTGGGCAAAGCAAAGCAATGTTGGTTCTAATTTAAGCACATAGTCTTTAGGCTTCTTTCGTAATAGTTCCCTTTTGTCCATTTGGGCTGAAACTGCTTCAGTAAGCATTTTATGAAATCAGTGAGAAACTCCAGAAAAAGGCTTCTGCCTCTTTTTACGAGGGTCGTATTTGGAGCAAAGGAGGGAAGAAAAGCATCTGTCAATTTGATAAATCATTTTCAGGAAAGAAGAAGTTTCAGCAAAGTATAAGATAGAGTTGGCAATTTAAGGGAGGAAAAAAAAAAGAGAGGAGACCATCACATATAGTGCTATATAAATGGTTTCTATAGAGAGCTTTTAAATATGTAAAATAATTTCATATATACTATCTCATTAGTGCTCACGGCAATCCAGTAGTTATTATAGAGCTTTTAAATACGTAAGATAATTTCATACATATTATCTCATTTAGTGCTCACAGCAATCCAGTAAAGTAGTTATTACTTTATGGGTGAAGAAATGAAGGTTCAGCTTTATTTTATTTCATTATTTATTTTACATTTTTTATTTTAATTAAATTTTTTTTTGGGACGAGGTCTCGCTCTGTCACCCAGGCTGGAGTGTAGTAGCAACAATCACAGCTCACTGCAGCCTCGGCCTCCCAGGCTCAAGCCATCCTCTCGCCTCAGTCTCCCAAGTAGCTGGAACCACAGGCACATGCCATCATGCCTGGCTAACGTTTCCACTTTTTGCAGAGACAGGGTCTCGCTGTGTTGCCCAGGCTGTGGTTCAGCTTTAATAAGTGGCTTGCTCAAGGCCTCACAGCCTGTAAAAGAAACTAAACTTTTGCAGAGCTTCCTTCCTGTCCATAGAACTGTCCCAAAGTCGGACGTCCTGGGCCTGAGGCACGGGTTTGTCACAAGGGGTGGCTCCCAATAGTAAACCTTCATGGCTCCCTGTATGTGTGGAATGAGTCTCTAATTGTGGAGAATTGAGAATGGGGGGGGTGGTTAGAGTCCCTTGAAGTGTTTTGCCAGTGTAGCTTGTGTCGTGATACCTCTTTGTGTCATTGTAAGTATGATCATGCCCACATCTTTCTGACATGGTCTTTTGCATCTGAATTTGCAGTTTCACATTTAACAGATTTAAACAGATTGGTGGCCCATATGTATCTAAAAGAGAAACATGTCATCTCCAGGACCAACTATATCATTTGCAGGGCTCAGTGCAAAATGAAACAGAGGGACTCTAGCTCAAAAATGATTAAAAGTGTCAATGTAGCAACAGCAGAGTAGGCAACCAAGCACAGGGCCTACGTGCTGGCCAGTACTCTAGCCTGGAAAAGTGCAAGACCTTCTGCAGGTGGAAGCTTCACAGTGTGCCTTCAGGGTCTGCTTTTGGGCTTTCTGCCAATCTGGCTACATACTTACCCTTTGACACAATCAAGGGCAAAGAGTTAAAGGAAAGGTAGTCTTGAGGCCTGAACTCTCTTCTAACCCTATTTTTTTTCTTCTTTTGAGACAGGGTCTCAGTCCATTTGCCCAGGCTGGAGTGCAGTGACACAATCTCAGCTCACTGCAGCCTGGACCTCGGCTCAGGTGATTCTCCTACCTACGCCTCCCGAGTAGCTAGGACTACAGGCACATGTCACCACATCCAGCTAATTTTTTTTTTTTTTTTTGAGACAAGAGTCTCGCTCTGTCTCATTTGCATTTGCATTTCAGACGCGCCAGGCTGGAGTACAGTGGCGCGATATCGGCTCACTGCAACCTCTGCCTCCCAGGTTCAAGCAATCCTCCTGCCTCAGCCTCCTGAGAAGCTGGGATTATAGGCGCCTGCCACCATGCCCAGCTAATTTTGTATTTTTAGTAGAGATGAGGCTTCTCCAAGTCGGCCACGTTGGTCTCGAACTTCTGACCTCAGGTGATCCACCCACCTCAGCCTGCCAAAGTGCTGGGATTACAGGCATGAGCTGCCACGCCCGGCCATGTATCTTTTTAAGTACAGGTGGAGGTCTCATTATGTTGCACAGGCTGGTTTCAAACTCCTGGACTCAAGCCATCTGCCCATCTTGGCCTCCCAAAGCACTGAGATTACCAGCGTGAGCCACCACACTGGCCAACCCAGACTTTCCACTGGTACACTGTCTTCATTGCTTTGATAGCAACTTTTAGGCTCCCTTAGCTTTAAAAAAGAATCCTCTAACCATATGGGGAAAAAAAAAAATCAGCAACAACTTTGTACCCACCTGACATTCGGCCAGAATTTTTCCAACAGAACCTAACAATAGATATGCTCTCTGAAAACTCTACCCAGATCGTACACTCCTTGCTGGGTAGGATTGTTTCAGAGGATATGAAGGACAAGGGACTGAGCCATGACACCTGTCACTTCCCGTCTGAGCAGTTCCTGAAGAAACAGCCCCCGGGGAATGAACTACCCCCTCTGCCTCGGGGACAGGCACCTCCTGGTCCACATCCATCCCTGGAATTAGATCGGAGCCACAGATGCTATCACTCCTCTGCCGTGGCCCCATCCTCCTCTGTCTGGCTTTTGATGAACTGAAGACTGGGGTCCGGGTTGTAATGGAGACTTAGAGTTGAGTGAAGCATTTTAGCTTTAAGAAGATTATTATAATTATCTCAAGGCACTGAAGGGCTGCTTCATTTGCATTTCAGACACTAAAATCAGAGGGCAGATCTTTAAGAGGTTAATTTTGTGAGTGAGTCCTTAATAACAGAGGGACCAAGACTCGATTCTTTATGCCTTAGGCTAGGTTTGCAGTTGGTAGATGCAAAATATGCTGATAAGATTAAAGCTCCTCTAGTGACTCTTAAGCCTCAGGCTCTTTTATTTGCAAATGTCCTGCACCCTCCATCTCAGAGAACTCTCTAGGCTCCGGTACTCTAGAATCCCTTACAGTGGATTTGCATGGACAGGAAAGCGAATTCTCATCTCTTCCAATCACTGCAAGACATGGAACGGATAGTCTGGCGGCACGTCTGGCAGCTGAACCTCTTCACTGAGAATCTAGGTAAAGGCCACTTACTGATCATTATAAATGCGCTCATCATAAAGCAGTCCTTCTGGATTTCTGGCATTTTCTTGAATAAACTTATTGAAACACCCTAAGGAGAACTCAGACATCCTTTTCAACCCTCAGGAGCGGATAAGAGGATGCAGCTTCATTTGTTAAATTGCAGTTGCATGTCAGTTATGAATAAACATGGACTGGACTTCTGATGCTAATGTAGGAACGATATTTGTACCTCCTGGAAGTAACTCCTATAGCTCGTTTTCTTTTAAAATTATGCAATCCACAGTCAAGTCCTGGGGTACAAGTCTAAGAGGCGTCAGCCACACAAGAGGCTAAAGTGACTTTGGGGTAGTCTGCAAGTATCTCAACCTGTCATTTCTCCAGACATTCAGATATAGTACATTTTAAACACAGCACTGCCTTTTTCTTGAAATATTTAGTTTCAGTGTTAGCTAAGTTTGTGATTTTTTAATGCAGAAAAAATGATTTATTTTTAATTTCTGATTCCTCGTCGGGCTATGTATATGTAAAGTCCAGGGTTATGAGAAGGCAGAAGTAAACTTGCTGGGTAGAAGGCGTCATGGTATCATGTGATGTGGCTTAGATTAATATGGGCCAGAACACTTTCTCTTTAGACATTGCTAATGTTATTCTTATTCTTCTACTATTCACAATAATAGCTAACATTTACTGAGTGCTTACAGTGTGCTTGGAACTTTGCTGAGAACTTTATACCAATTATCTGAGTTTTACAGAAACATTTTAAGGTAGATATTGTTAATATCCCAATTTGACAGAAGGAAGAAACAGGAGTTCTGGGCAGGTAAGGAACATGCCCAAGCATTGCTCACTAATAAATGACTGAGCTGTGTGTAAACATAGTTCTTTCCACGTCCAAAGCCCATACTTGTAACCACTGCACTGCTGTTTGTAGATTTGTTCGACTCCTCAGAGCAGTAAGTCAGTTTCATCTTACTTGCCTGGCCTCTCCATTGAGTATTGAACTTGGCAGGAAATAGTGTTGGGAGTGATTTGTGATGTCTGAGATAGGTAGATCCAGTACAGAGGAATGTTGAAATTAGACTTACTAGTCCCATATTAGATTCTTCTCAGACTATCCACGAGAGACTTCTCCATGGACCCAATACCAACCAAGCTTCTGTAGAACATTTTTTTTTTTTTTTTTTTTTTTTGAGACAGAGTCTTGCTCTGTCACCAGGCTGGAGTGCAGTGGCGCGATCTCGGCTCACTGCAACCTCCGCCTCCCGGGTTCAAGTGATTCTCCTGCCTCAGCCTCTTGAGTACCTGGGACTACAGGCGCACACCACCACGTCCAGCTAATTTTTTGTATTTTTACTAGAGACAGGGTTTCACCATGTTGGCTGGGATGGTCTCGATCTCCTGACCTCGTGATCCACCCACCTCAGCCACCCAAAGTGCTGGAATTACAGGCGTGAGCCACCGCACCTGGCCTGTAGAACACATTTTTATTATGCAGTCCATGTTCATATGTCTAGCCTGTCAGTGGGTTACTTGTTAATAAAAAGCAGCCGTTTCATATTAGTGTCTCATTGAAAGCAGTGCCTGTTTTCCATTCATTCTACCTTGGATTTGTTTTCTTCCTCAATACTGAATTCTTAGAAAATGATATGTATGTTGAAAAATACTTGAGAATACCTGAGAACGGTTCTCTGTTGCATTTATTGCTGTATGTGAACCTGTCTATCAAGAATCCCAGGTGTTTTGTGATTTCCGTGTTTGTGAAATACATTAACTCTCCTTATGGTTGGAGAAATCAAAACAGTGCAGGTAAATGGTGTTTTGAAATATCTGTAATAGTAGCGAATAAGTCAGAGCCTCACAGTGCTTCATTTTTTAATGGAAAATTTGAACACATACCCACCTCTTCAGTACTGAAGAATTTTTTCCTGTTTGATTTTGTTGCTGAGATTGGAGTTTGTCCCATGAGAAATCACTGAACAGATTTAATTTTGTTTATTCTTTTTTTTTTAAGACAGCATATTTGTTCTCTACCAATATCATCCAAAGAATGAAATGAATTTCAACCAGAGATGTAGGACCTAAAAAATTTAGGTCAAAGCTTACATATAAGTGGCTTTGTCTTGCTGGCATCAGTATTTTCGTATTTCTCTTCTCAAAAGAAGATAACTTTATATCAATATTTCAGAATTCCATGTAGCCCACCCTACTGACTGCATTGTTGTCTGTTATGCTGATACAAAGATCTTTTGTTTTCCTTGCCTGGGATGTTCTGCCATATCTCAGATGGCTGGATGGACACAGGTGGCCTAAAATTCCTGTGCCAGATTCAGCATGATCCTGACCTAACTTGGCCTGGATCATAAAGTAAACCTTGGGGAATGTTCCCGTAGCCTGAGCGGGAAACACTGGCCTCTGGGAGCTCCTTATGGAGGAGAGAAAACGAGGAGCTGTAAACTGGACAATGGATTAAAACTCTAGTAAACTGGCTGGGGTGCAGTGTCTCACGCCTATCATCTCAGCACTTCGGGAGGCCGAGGTGGGTGGATCAACTGAGGTCAGGAGCTCGACACCAGCCTGGCCAACATAGTGAAACCCCATCTCTACTAAAAATACAAAAATTACCCAGGCGTGGTGGCGGGTGCCTGTAATCCCAGCTACTCAGGGGGCTGAGGTGGGAGAACCACTTGAACCTGGGAGGTGGAGGTTGCAGTGAGCCAGGATCCTTCCACTGCACTCTAGCCTGGGCAACAGAGCAGATAATCTCAAAAGAAAAAAAAAAAATCTGGTAAACTGAATTCCGGGTCAGATCTTCAGATCTTACCTCCTGTGTAACCTTGGCTAAGTTACCAAATTTCTCTTCACCTCAGTTTCTCTGACTGTAAAATGGAGACACAAGCCAGAAAATCTTTAAGTTCCTGCCAAGTTTTAAGAGTTTGAAGCTTCCACGATACTCTGTGCCCAGGCCCTTCCTGATGTCTGCTTTTACAGCGGGACAAGCAGCAATGCTGTTGTACTCTCTGCATCTTGGGGCTTGTTCCTCTGAACCCTTGAAGACAAGGGCTGAGCCGCGTCAGCTCTTTCCCAAAACACAATTTAAACCCTTCGGAGTGGTCAGAAATGCCACTTTGGGAGGCCTCCCTGGGTTCTCTGGGTGTTTTGTTGAAGCAGTCTCAGGTTCTCTAACGTTCTTTTTGTTGAAGATGATATCTACAAGCTTTATAAGCTTTCTTCTGATGGGGAGAGGGAAGAGGTTCTCTTAAATACAGTGTTCAACTATCAACCGTCATCTTTAGGGAGACCCTTCAATAACCTCAGTTTCTCTTTGTGTATAACTAGAGCTAATAAGAGAATGTGGGTAAATTGGGCTAAAACAAAGCCAACATTACAGTAGTTCACATGATATTTTTAAAAGAAAAACAAAGGCGGCACGCCAGACTAAATAAGGCTACCATGGCCACCGAAGTTTTGCATCAATTTGTGACCAAAGGACATTTTTCAAACTGACCTAAGCCAATTTGGTATCTGCAGTTATTTTTGGTCAATATCATTAGCCTCCCATAGTTCAAAGTAGGTGGGGCTATAGGTTTTCTCCTACAAAACCTTGTTTCCAGGTCATGTTACAAAGGAAATAAGTCTTTTATTTTTATTTTTATTTTTGGAGATGGAGTCTTGCTCTGTCGCCCAGGCTGGAGTGCAGTGGCGTGATCTTGGCTCACTGCAACCTCTGCCTCCCGGGTTCAAGCGATTCTCCTGCCTCAGCCTCCTGAGTAGCTGGGACTACAGGCGCGCCCCACCACATCTGGCTAATTTTTATATTTGTAGTAGAGACGGGGTTTCATCATGTTGGCCAGGATGGTCTTGATCTCCTGACCTCGTCATCCACCTGCCTCGGCTTCCCAAAGTGCTGGGATTACAGGTGTGAACCACTGTGCCTGGACAGGAAATAAGTCTTAAACCAAATTCTGCCATACTTACAAACGTGTAGCAAGCTGACAGGAAAAGTCCTACAATTCGTTTTGTAAACTTGATGAAAAGCCACGCCCCTATCCTTTTAGGCAATCCTACAGCATTTTACATAAAGGGTACCCTAGAGGCAAGTGCGGTTATTGCACTAATGGCATGAGCCAGATAATCATCCAGTTAGTCAAGCAGAGAAAAGTGCTCCTGGAATGACCTGAACAATGGACCAATCAGTTCAAATCCCTAATTTGATTAATTGGGCTTGCTGGATTTTATACAAGCAAGAATGCCTGCTCAATATTTCTAGCCAATCACTATATCTTGAACATAACCATTTTCACCAAAGAAAAATAATTTCTAACTGCCATGATTCCAGTTAAACTCTGCCGTTGACCAGTAATAGAGATAGCCAAGGCAGCGTGGCAACGGCCTTTGGAGTGTAACCTTCTGATGAGACTCTCAGATGATAACTTGGACTGGCCTAGGCACTGAGCAATCAGAACAGATTCTGGCCTCAGCTGATGCTGTGCAGAAGCTTCCTACTGAGCCAGAATTGTCTCAGAGAGCTGCCAAGGCAACCAGGTCTTGAGTGGCCAAGATCTGAGATAGAAGGGAACTATAGAGAGTGGAGAAGGTGCTTTTCTCTCCCTGTTCATCTGCTGAGAAGGCAGCAGAACTTTTGGCAGTATAATGAGGCTTAAAAGACAAAATTTGGGATTCAGACCTGCCAAGGCGGACAAGACTTAAGAGATCAAGATCCTGGGAGGAAGAGACAGAAAAGTGAACTGGATACTCCAGTCGTTGTCCCCTTTGAAGCATTTGCCAAATATTAGACTGTATACTGCAAGAGACTAAGCAAAAAAACCATTTTTAGTGGAGTTCTCAGTATCACAGTGCTAAGTGGAAAAAAAAAAATCACATGGCGGGGTGCGGTGGCTTATGCCTGTAATCCCAGCACTTTGGGAGGCCGAGGTGGGTGGATCACCTGAGGTCAGGAGTTTGAGACCAGCCATCACCAACATGGTGAAACCCCGTCTCTACTAAAAATACAGAAACTTAGCTGGGCATGGTGGTGGGAGCCTGTAATCCCAGATACTCGGGAGACTGAGGCAGGAGAATCACTTGAACCTGGGAGGCGGAGGTTACAGTGAGCCAAGATTGTGCCATTGCACTCCACCCTGGGCAACAAGACCAAAACTCTGTCTCAAACAAACAAACAAACAAAAAACAATCACATTCAAAGCTTAGCCAGGAGAAAAGGCGCTAGGAGATACCCCACTGGGATCCTTGAAGAATCATAACCTAAAAATAGATGTGAACCTGAAGTAGACAAGCGATACAAAATCTCAGTGAGCTCAGTCTGGGATTGGTTTAGCTTGATCACTCCCATTCAGCTGCCTACCAGAGGACTGGGCGAACGATCACTGAAGAAAGATGGGAGTCTCTACCTTTCTCATAAGTTGTTTCAATGAAAAATGATCAAGCATACCAAGAAATAAGCCTAAAAGAAAAAAAATAGGCACTGGAAAGATACCCATAATTTACTGGCATTATCAGACATAAATTTCAAAATATCTGTGATTCATATGTTCAGGAAGATAAATGATACAATAAAGAATTTCACCAGAAAATGGGAATTCATAAAAAGAAACTGGGGCCAGGCGTGGTGGCTCACACCTGTGTAATCACAGCATTTTGGGAGGCTGAGTTGGGCAGATGACTTGATCCCAGGAGTCCAAGACCAGCCTAGGCAACACGGTGAAACTCTGTCTCTATAAAAAATACAAAAATTAGCCAGGCATGGTGGCGCACACCTGTAGTCCCAGCTACTTGGGAGGCTGAGGTGGGAGGATCACCTGAGCCTGGGAGGTCAAGGTTGCAGTGAGTCAACTTCACTTCAGCCTGAGTGACAGAGATCCTGTCTCACAAAAGAGAAAAGAAAAGAAAAGAAATAAAGAAAAGAAAAGAAAGAGGAAATTCTGGAACTTAAAAAATGAAATAATGGATATTAAGAACACAACAAGTGGATCTAATAGCAGATTAGATTTAGTACAAGACAGATTCAGTGAAATGGAATGCAAATCAGTTGAAAATATCCAGAGAGATACATGGAGAACAAAAAGGATCAAAATACAGAAAAGAGCAGAAGAGACATATGGAACACATGTAACATATAATTGAAGGCCTGGAAGAGGGGAAGAGGGAATGAGGCAGAAGCAATATATTTTTCTTTTTCTTTTTAGTTGACACATAATAATTGTACATATTTGTAGGTACATATTTATAGGATACAAAGTGATGATTTTGGTATAGGTGTACAATGTGTACTGATCAAATCATGGTAATCAGCATATCTATCAACTCAAACATTTATCATGTCTTTGTGTTGTGGACATTGAAAATCTTTTCTTCTAGCTTTTTGAAAACATACAATAAATCATCATTAACCATATTCACCTGAGAGTGCTGCAGGATGCCAGAACTCCTTCCTCCTACATAGCTATAATTTGGTCTATAGTTTGGTATCCATTAATGAACCTCTCCCCATCCACCTCTCCTTCCTACCTTTCTCAGCCTCTAACACCTAAAATTCTACTTCAAAATGTGATTTAAGAAGCCCTGGCTTGCCCCAACCAGGATATACACAGAGAAAACCACAGCTGGGTACAATGTAGTAAAACTGTTGAAAACAAAAGCCAAGGAGAAAAATGATTAAAGCCGTGAGAAAAAAATTCATTATTTTTAAAGGAGCAACACTAAGACAGTAACTCATTTCTCAACAGAAACAATGGATGCCAAGAGACAATGGAACGTCATATTCATGGGTTGAAAGAATGTAACCGTCAACCTAAAAGTTTACAAACTTAATAAAGATATTCGTCAAACATTGAAGTGAAATAAAGACATTTCAGGACAAAAATTGAAAGAATCCATCATCAGTAGACCAACACTAAAAGAAATACTAAAAGGAAGTATACGGATAGAAAGAAAATGATCCCAGAAATGCAGGAAGGAATGAAAGCTGACAGAAAGGGTCAACATGTGGTTAAGTTCAAATGTATTAAGAATATGAGATGTATTGATGGCTGGATAGAGGGATGGATAAATATGTGATAAAGTAAATGTAGAAAAAATTTTCACATGCAGAAATGTGGAAAAATTAAAGAATCTGGATGAGGGGCATATGGGCCATTCTATTTTTGTAAAATGTTCAGAAAATAAATATAGGGCAAATATAAATGAACATTGACCATATAAAAGAACAAAAATGGGGTTTTGTGGGCACTAAAATATATGTAGCATTAAATGCATGACAAAAACAATACAAAAAGTGAAAGGGGGTAAAGGGAGTTAAAGTGTAATAAAATCATAACATCTGGAAGTATTAAAACTCAGAATTTTACCAGACTATAATAGGTCAAGGACACATAATGTAATCTGTAGAGCAACTAGTAAAATAATGCATAAAAGGGAAAATAGAATGAAAAATACTTGATTAATCTAAAATAATTCAAGAAAGAAGAGGAAAGAGAACATAAACTAGGTGGACTAATAGAAAACAACTGTAAGATGGTAGCTATAAACTCAAGTATATCCGTAATTGAGTTACATGAAAATTGACTAAATACTCTAATTAAAAGATAATTATTGTTAGACTGTATTTTAAAGACAACAAAATCTAATTAAATACTGCTTATAAGAGACGCTTCATAAATGTAAGGACAAAAAGAAGTTGAAGATAAAAGAATGAAAAAAAGATATACCTTGTAAATGCCAACCAATATAAGCTGGCATAGTTCTAATATAAGAGAAAATAGACTTTTCAAGAATCATCATGAAGTCAGGAGTTCAAGACCAGCCTGACCAACATGGAGAAACCCCATCTCTACTAAAAATACAAAATTAGCTGGGTGTGGTGGCGCATGTCTGTAATCGCAACTACTCGGGAGGTTGAGGCAGGAGAATTGCTTGAACCCTGGGGGTGGAGGTTGCTGAGAGCCGAGATTGCACCATTGCACTCCAGCCTGGGCAACAAGGGTGAAACTCCATCTCAAAAAAAAAAAAAAAGATAAGTATCTTTAATTTATCATTAATGTTAAATAGCCAAAAATATACAGAATTAAAAGAAGAAACCAGTCTGTAATCATAGAAACAACATGTCTCTCTCAAAAACTGATAGAACAGGCAGACAAAAAATCAGTTAGGAGAGAAGATCTGAATCTCTCAACAATGACACAATTCATTTCCAAGTACAACTGGGACATTAACCAAAATTGACCATATGTTGGCTCATAAAGCAATTCTTGACAAATTTCAAAGGACTAAATTCATTCAGAGTACTTTTTTTTTGACCAGAGAGAAATTAAGCTGTAAATCAATGACCATAAAAATAGAAAATCACCAAATGTTTAGAAATTAAGCATTCTACTTGTAAATAACCAACAGGTTAAAGAAGAAATTTCAGTGGATTTCAGACAATAGTTTGAAATGAAATGATGAAAATTTTACACGTCAAGCGCTAACTAACCACTCACCCCTGAAGTGTGTATTCCTAAGGTACTTCAAATATTAAATAACTACTCCTATAATGTAAATTAATAACTAACCCACACATTATTATACTATGTATACTGAAGGACTGTTATTTATTTATTTATTTTAAGACAGAATCTTGCCCTGTTGCCCAGGCTGGAGTGCAATGGCGTGATCTCAGCTCACTGCAACCTCCGCCTCCTGGGTTCAAGTGATTCTCCTGCCTCAGCCTCCTGAGTAGCTGGGATTACAGGCATGTGCCACCACACCCAGCTAATTTTTATATCTTTAGTAGAGACAGGGTTTCACCTTGTTGGCCAGGCTGGTCTCAAACTCCTGACCTCGTGATCTGCCTGCCTTGGCCTCCCAAAGTGCTGAGATTTATTCTATCATATTATCATTCATCTCAAACTCCATATGTAACTTGCAGTTGATTTTTCAACATTCAAACATCATTTATTATTATCCATCAAATTGCCATCTTGTTCCATTTCCCTGCATATCTCCTTTCTGTGTAGAAGTCTTCCTTCTGGGAGCAGGACGAGGTAAGTGAGATGAGAGCCTGGGCTGTCACACTTTATATTCTAATATTTTTAACCCAATTTGCTTTAGTGTGGTCAGAGAAGCTGGAAATTGAATCAGAGACCTCAGGGGCAACTCAGGTGATAAGTCAGCCTGGATGTGAAGTTTATCAGTCTTGGCTCCGTGTGTTTAATTAGAAGCTAGTGGAATGTTATCATTGACTCCGCCAGCAAACATCTTCACTGGAGAGGCAGCTGGGTTAAGGAAGAACATGCTGAAAATAGAGCTTATGAACATAGCTGAAAACTGTTTATCCACAGCAACCAGCAGAAGTGAGGGGCGGGAGAGAGCCCAGCAGTTGGCAATCAGAGCGTGCATATAAGCAAAGGGATCATTTCTTCCAAGCTGTGTCAGAGGGCACTCAATCATGTATACTGAGCTTTCTTCCTGAAAAGATAGTTCAAATCTGTGTGGATTGTCAAGTTTTCTTCCTCTCCATAATATGGTCATTAATATTTCACTTCTTTTAGCCAGGAACTTTCAATAATTCAACATCTGCTCTTCCAGGCTGCCTGCAAGAAAGGCCAGTTTCCACCCACTGCCCTCCTGGGTTTGTCCTTCCAGGTACAGAATCTGAGAGGTACTGGGGAAAAGAGGAGGCAACGAGGCTAGTCTCTCACTCCTCTCTCTTCCCTACCTGTGTTTCTTGGACGGGTTCACATTCTTCTTGCATCAGATAGTAAATGCAGTCAAGGAACTGGTGAGGAAAATGGGAAGTTTTTTTGTGCATGTGTTAGATGGGAAGAGGAAAATTGGCAAGTGTTCTTTAAGAAAAGCAGACACAGTTACATTCATGAGGCAACCGGTTGCCAGACTAGTGTGACTCCTGAAGGAACAACTTGGATTGCCTTTTTTTTTAAAATCAGTTTTTATCTAGACCAAATCTCTTTTATTTCAGTGATGTCAAGCAGCTCATGTTACCTTCGCCCAAAGAGAAAGATGTATGGGAGCTTCAAACTCAGGACAATTCTCAATGTCCTTAGCGTTGACTCATATTAAAAATGTTAAGAGAACACTAGAATAATAGTGATGTGTGTGTGTGTGTGTCTGTGTGTGTTTGTGGTTTCCTTTCCTGGAAACCCTTTCTAGGATTAACCTAGGTTAATCCAACATAATGATAGTCTGAAGAGGTTGAATAAATCAGCCCAGATACGCAGGTGATTTAGCCAAGGCTACATGGTGAGTCTAGGGGCAAAGCCGAATAAGGGTGGAGTCCCTAATTCATAGCTAACCTGCACTGCCATAGTCTATCGGAAGTGAGGTAGAGATTATTATCTGATTTTATTATTCCGGGACACGTAAACTTGGCTGAGGACACACAGCTCGGAACCCTAGCCCATAGATAAATAGACAACTTTATAGAGTATAATTTGAGTAAGCCAAAAAGTTTCCACTTACATATATTCTAGACCTCCACTTTAAAGTAATTTGAGGGGGACAGAGAGGCAAAGTGAGCAGCATTTCTTCAGAAATCACGTTGTCTGGAAATAGCTCAGTAGTGCGCATGGCACTCCGTTAGCCAATTGCTGTCCTGGGCCTGGAGGGCCATAGAGCTGGACAGAGGCCTTGTTTTGTTTGGTTCGGTTTGTGCTTGTGGTATTCAGGCTGGTAGGTCTGATGGCTGGTAAAGTGCTAAAGCAATCATGGGTGCGAGGTACACAGTGGGGAATGTATCAAACGGTCACTTTCCTAAGGGAGACATTCTCCCCCTTCTAGGAATTTGCTGAGGGTTGGGCTGAGTGGAAGCGTTTCCTTCCTGCCTGTTCTCTGACTTCCAATGCGCACTTTGTTTTAGGCTGGATAGCTACACATCATCAATGAGATTGCAGACAGTCCCTGTGCTTGCTAAGAACGGTGGAAGGTTTTAGGACTACTGTGTCTTACATATTCATTGTCTAAGCCCCCAAGTGTACAGCATTCAAAGCTATTCCTTCCAGCTCTGAAATTTCTTTGGGTGAAAGCTGTCGACTTTCCTTAGAGGAAAAAGAAAGCCATTTCATCAGGGCACTGACCTCATTCCTGTAAGCTTGACTGGCTGAGCCCTGGGAGTGACACCTGTCCCAGTCTTTGGCTTTAGCAAGTGATTGATTTGAAGAAATGGTATTGGTCATTTAACCCACAAACTGATTCTGAAATAAGACTCATTTGTAATAAATACATCTCACATTTGAGGACTGAATTCTTCAACACACATTCCAAGTTTTGTCAGTTAGAAAAAATACAGTACTTTGTAAAGTATAAAATCCATAACTCTATATAACCCAAACAATAGGTTGAAAACTGGGTTTGTTGTAAGTAACGTATTAATAACACCTGGTGTAATACCTGTTAACATGCTCGGTGCCTGAAGCAAATTGGCAAGCGTTTCATCTCCTTTTGCCAATAACTTGTCAGAAACTGACTGAGGGTTCCTTCCAAACTCTCAGAAGAACATCCAAGGCCAGGCAGCTTATGTAGCTCTTGAACTTCACCAGGGCGAGGGCTGGGCCCCGGCCAACTAGAGAAGCCACAGCTGAATCAGAGGAGGAATTCCGAAGAGCTGGGCAGGGGCCTCCTGATGGCGAGATGCTGAATGGGATAAGAATGTGATGAATTAATTGATTTGTATCTTACGCAAGAGCTGCAGTGAGGATGGTGAAATTCATTTCCTTCCATAGGTCCTGCCCCTTTCTTTGTAAGTCAGTCAGCAGCATTGCCAGAGCTGCCTAAAATGCCACCTCCATCCCCTGACAATCAAAGAGGAATCTTTTCATGCAGGCTGAGTTCTAATGACGAACTCATTAAAATCAAGACCACTTACTATGCGTATGTGATGTGTTATAAGCACTTTCAGATGCATGATTTTAAACATTCTGGCCATCCTGTGAGGTCAGTACCATATTATCCCCATTTCGTGGACAGAACAGTCGTTTAGAGAACTTCAGTAATTTACTCGAGGCAATCTGGTGTGAAAAGTTTGAGAGAGGACACTGCAACCAGGCCACCTGGGTCCAGATCTTGGCCTTGCCACTTACGAGCTATGTGACCTTGAGAAAAGGTCTTAACTTCTTTGTGTTTCAATGTCCTTATCTGTAGAATAAGGATAATAGTGTTGCGGATGTCACAGAGTCGTAATGAGGGTTAAATAAGTTGATATATAGACAGCTCCGAGAACCTGGCCTGGCATATGGTAAGGACTAGCTACTTATTTGTGGTGGTGATTTGTTTTTACTCTGTGAGAGATTTGAACCCAGTTTAGTTTGATGCTAGGGTCAGAGTTCTTTGTCATCTGTTCTTAAGAAGCCAGTGGAATAAATATCTTCTTTCTCCTACATTTACAAAGAGATGATAATCCTGCTTTAGAAGAGTTATCATGCCTGCAGAGGTATCATAGAGATTAGTTTTTATCCGCAGAGCACTTTTTAATTGGAGGATAATTGCTACACTGGACTAGTGTGGTAGTAGGAATTCATATCAAAATTAGACTTTGTGACTGAAAGTGTAAACAAATGCATTCTTGCTAAGACTAGCCACATATTTAGAGGCATATAGCAGTCTGAAATAATTCTATTCCTTTGTCAACACACAGACGGAGGACCGTTGGGCCTTTTGCTAAATTTGGCTCTGCTGCACTTCCGTCTTTAGAACTAGGCAATTGCTTCATCATGCCTACATTGTGCTACCCTGATATTTTGGTACCTACTGCACTGCCGCACATTCATGGGACGCCAGCTGTACCATCTATATAATAATCTGAGAACTTGGCCATTCACCATCCAAAGTTTTCATACAAACCAATGAAGGCGGCGTGCACTTCAGATGAGCAAACACCAGACCTGTAGTATAGGTGGACAGATAACTAGATTTTGCTTTTCTGATAAAAAAGGAATCTTGTCTGTTGTTTTAGAACTACTTTATATGGACAGTGAGTGCAGCATGATTTCTTCCAACTGGAGATTTAATGGAGACCTGGATCAAACATTACATACTTTGTTACATCTTTTTGAGAATGAGTTGGAGTGAGGGGATGTTATGTTGAAAAAGAAGAGGCAGGCTGGGAAGGGTGGCTCACACCTGTAATCCCAGCACTTTGGGAGGCCGAGGTGGGCAGATCATGAGGTCAAGAGTTTGAGACCAGCCTAACCAACATGGTGAAACCCTGTCTCTACTAAAAATACAAAAATTAGCTGGGTGTATTGGCGCACGCCTGTAATCCCAGCTACTCGGGAGGCTGAGGCAGGAGAATTGCTTGAACCCAGGAGGGGGAGGTTGCAGTGAGCCGAGATCCTGCCACTGCACTCCAACCTGGCAACAGAGCGAGCAAGATTCTGTCTCAAAAAAAAAAAAAAAAAAAAAGAAGAAGAAGAGGCAACACTTGTCTTGGCAAACCATGACTAGTTTAGACTGCAAGCTCAATGAAGATCAAAACTAGGTTGGTCTTGTTTTGTTTCAGGCACTCTCTGTATGTATTTGTTGAATGAATGAATGAAAATAATAGTTATGATTATAATATTATCTAAGTATGAAGAACATGCCTCTGGATCAGTAAAGACACATAAAATGGTAGGAGGGTTAAAGAACATCAGTGGGTACCAACTGTTTTGTCATGACAGGGGGATATCTCTGAAAAATTTCTGTATTAATTGGAAAAGAAGCTTATGGTGAACTTTTTTTTTTTTTTTTCGAGATGGAGTTTCGCTCTTGTTGCCCAGGCTGGAGTGCAATGGCGCGATCTCAGCTCATCGCAATCTCTGCCTCTCGGGTTCAAGTGATTCTCCTTCCTCAGCCTCCCGAGTAGCTGGGATTACAGACATGCGCCACCACCCCGGCTAATTTTGTATTTTTAGTAGAGACGGGGTTTCTCCATGTTGGTCAGGCTGGTCTTGAACTCCCGACCTCAGGTGATCTGCCCGCCTCGGCCTCCCAAAGTGCTGGGATTACAGCGTGAGCCACCGCACCCGGCCATGGTGAACTCTTTTTAAATGACACATAAAATTTCCTGATTTGTCTTTTAAAAGTTACATCTAGATTTTCATGTATCATTTTTCTTATAAGGATAGCTAATTAATATATAGATTTTATGTATGGATTTTCATATTTCATGTATATAACATGAATTAAACTGTTATTTGTATGAAGTGCCAAGCTCCTTTTGGGTAGTACCTACCACCCTGTATATACCACATGCCAAATGAGTTTTTAAGATATTGGCATGTCCCAAATTCACCATTTACATTCTTGAAAGTACTTCCTTTGTTCCATACAGATCTAACTAAATATTAGAGGTATCTGACCTTTTATTTTTTGAAAAAATGTTTGATGTTCTGACTATTTGCAACAAAAGAGCTCTGTTCTCAAATGCCCTGTATGGAGAGAATTTCTCGGTTCTTTTGAGAGGGATAAAAAACCTCTCTTAAGTCTGTGAGACTAAAGATAAAGGGCATCCCAGCACCATGTATCTGAGGGATAATGACTGTCCGTATCGGAGAGCTGGGCGGTGATGGGTGTGTTGGAAGCACCGGCTGGACCAATGGACTTGGAGCTAGAACTTGGTTTTGCTCTCGGCGTTGCCGCAGGGTGGCTGTCTTGCCTTATGCAGGTTTTGATTCTCTTCTGTAAGGATCTGGTAGCTATTCCAAAGCCAACCCATCTGTGCTATGGGATTTGATGCCACATGACTCCAGCTACCCTGGTAGGCCTTTCCCAGGCGTTGGTCAGAGATATGATCCAAAGGCTGTCTGTAGAAGATTGTTCTCTCCTGAGTGTTCTGATGCAGCCAGCACAAGGGTTTCCTAAGGAAAGGAACCTGGTCCTGCTTCGGTCGTTTTCGTATCCCCTAGGGGCTGCTGAATAAAGTACTAGTTCCCAAGCTTTCTGTCATATCTTCTCTGCACACTTCTGGAGTAGAGTGGGTGAGGGCAAGGCCAGGAGGTCAGTGCCACAGCGTGGGAAGAGAGGAGGCCCTGGGCCCTATTCTCTCTGGGGAGCTTTACATCACCCATTGCTCTCTCCATCTCCCCAGGGCCCAGATGGCTCCATTCTAGAGCTTCTCCTCCAACCCCTTCCCACCTTCCATCCCAAACACTTTCCTCTCTCCTTCTTGGTCTCTCTCTCTCTCTTTCTCTGCCCTTCCTTCCTTCCCTCCTTCCCTCCCTCCCTCCCTTCCTCTCTTTCTCCCTCCCTCCTTCCCTCCTTCCCTCCTTCCCTCCCTCCCTTCATGTTTTCCTTTCTTCCTTCTTTCTTTTTCTTTTTTTTTGATACAGGGTCTTGCTCTGTTACCCAGGCTGAAGTGCCACCCCTGTGATGCCTAGTGGTACAAACACTGCTCACTGCAGTCTTGACCTCCTGGGCTCAAGCAATCTTCCTGCTTCAGTAGCTGGGACTGCAGGTCCACACCACCACTCCCAGCTAGTTTTTTAATTTTTTTGTGCAGATAGTGTCTCACTATGTTGCCCAGGCTGGTCTCGAACTCCTTGCCTCAAGAGTCCTCCCATCTTGGCCTCCTGAAGTGCTGGGATTACAGGTGTGAGCCACTGTGCCCAGCCTCTCTGCTCTTTCCCTTCCTTCTCCTCTTAGTTAAAATTGTAGCCGTGGTCAGAGGTGGCTCTGTCTCCTCGTAGAAAGCAGGGAGCAAGACTACAAAAGAAATGGTAAAATTTTAACGAATTTTAAATGAATAAATCCCTAATTTCCTATGGAATGACAAACTAAATGATGGTTTGTAGTTGGAAAATTAAGCAATAAAATACTTTTTTATTTTTTGAGAGAGAGTCTCGCTCTGTCACCCAGGCTGGAGTGCAATGGCACACTCTTGGCTCACTGCAACCTCCGCCTCCCGGGTTCAAGCGATTCTCCTGGCTCAGCCTCCCAAGTAGTTGGGATTACAGGCACGTGCCACCATGCCTGGCTAATTTTTGTATTTTAGTAGAGACGGGGTTTCACCATGTTGGCCAGGCTGTTCTCGAACTCATGACCTCAAGTGATCCGCCTGCCTTGGCCTCCAAAAGTGCTGGGATTACAGACATGAGCCACTGCGCCTCGCCTATTTTTTTTTTTTTAATAAGTCTATAATAGGTATACACAGGGCCTGACTATTCCAGATAGTGTCAGCTGTGTAGTTTTCTTATTAGCAGACTTGGGATCTATATTTATAGACAATTGAAGTTTTAAAGATGTAAAGAATTTATTTATTCATTCATTTATTCTTTTGAGAGGGAGTCTTGCTCTGTCGCCCAGGCTGGAGTGCTGTGGCACAATCTTGGCTCATTGCAACCTCTACTTCCCAGGTTCAGTGATTCTCCTGCCTCAGCCTCCCAAGTAGCTGGGTTTACAGGTGCCTGCAACCACGCCCTGCTGATTTTTGTATTTGTAGTAGAGACGGGGTTTCACCGTGTTGGCCAGGCTGGTCTTGAACTCCTGACCTCAGGTGATCCAGCCACCTCAGCCTCCCAAAGTTCTGGGATTATAGGTATGAGCCACTGCGGCTCATACATAAAGCATTATATACAATTGTCATTATATACTGTAATGTACCTTCATTCCTTCTGTCTGAACAATGTGGATTTTAGAAATAATTACCAAATATAAACACTACTAAAATGTGTAGATTTGGTGGTGCAGCACATCAAGGAGCACAAATTTTACAAATTTCTTTTTAACCATCTCTGCGTTGTATTTTCAGAATACGGATGATTCATTTTAATCCTGGTGTCTTTAAATGATTAAGGATTTTCATACATGAGGTATTTCCCACAGGGAAATTCTAAGGTAATTTGGGTATGATTCGTTTAGAGTTTTTCATTATTTACAACAATTTAGTAACCATTAGACTTTCTTCCTTGCATGTGAATACATACATATATTTTTACATCAAGTATTTCCATCGAATTTTAGCTGCTTATATTTTCTTTTTAACCATTACTTGGAATGGTATTTTCCTATAAGCGGGGAATAAAGAAACTACTTCTGTCTCTCGGGTATATTAACAGGGACAGTGGGGCCTAATTTCTTATGTCCCCTCAGTTAGCCTTTGTCACAGACACTCCTGTGTTTTGGGGTCAGGAGGGAAGAGATCATTGCAGACTACAGTCATGGAATTTGATTCATTTAACTGAAAACTTTTTATTTTACTTTACCCATCTTAAGTCCTCCTGATAGCCCTATAAAGTAATAAATTGTCCAAACCCCTTCAGGAAACTATTCTTAATTCCATCATCATTTATAGTTGCCTATCTGCCCAATAAACCAGAATTTAGCCTTAAAGCCATCGCTCTCTTAATCTGTATTATGATCTTGTCTTTATATATGAGTTTTGTTTTTCAAATTAGTGGATGGCCTTAGGTACCATTTTGTTATTCTGCTTGTTTGTGTCTTCTGAAGACAGTCACAGCATCATAGAATACTACAGATTGGAGGGGTCTATGGGATCATCAGAACCAGTGCTTTTCAAAAAAATTTTAACTGCAAACTCCCCATTTGAAGTGAATTTTTGTTTGTTTGTTTTGTGACAAAGTTTCACTCTTGTTGCCCAGGCTGGAGTGCAGTGGCACAATCTCAGCCCACTGCAACCTCCACCTCCTGGGTTCAAGCAATTCTCCTGCCTCAGCCTCCCAAGTAGCTGGGATTACAACCATGTAATTACACTCGGCTAAATTTTTTTGTATTTATTAGAGATTGGCTTTCACCATGTTGACCAGGCTGGTCTTGAACTCCTGAGCTCAGGTGATCCACCCACGTCGGCCTCCCAAGGTGCTGGGATTACAGGCGTGAGCCACGGTGCCCAGCCTGAAGTGAAATCTTATAAGACCCTCAGTATTGGTCCAGGGAGGGTAGACTTCCTCATACCTCCCAGGAGGCCCGAGGGCTCCATTGCCTCTAATTTCCTCTAGATGAGAGAACTGACACCTCTAGAGATAAAATTAGCTGCCCAACATTTTGGTGAGGGAGGAAGAGTCCATTTTTGTTGCTTAGAAGCTTCGAAATCAGCAGAGGTCAGTGTATGTGGAGATTGCTGGTAATAAGTCTGGAAACAGAGCAGAAGGTTGCAGGTTGGAACCTGGCTTCCCTGGAAGCCAACACTCAGGTGGAGCTGGGCATGCAGGATGTTTACTGGAAATCCACACCCGTAGAAACCAGGAGGATGCAGGATTGTACCAAGGAAAAAGTCAAACTGCCACACAGGCCAACAAAGCCTTGGCCAGCCCCACAGGGAAGCGCTGGAGCATAAATGGCCCATCCTCGTGTCCTGTGTTGGACTTGATGGCTGGGCCTTTATACCCTCACTGCTATCAGTCTTTGGATGTGAACCACCTTGGGAAGGGCAGGCCCTTGGCCTTCTGCAGCATTCTGTGGCTTTCTTCAGTGGAAGCAAATCCTGAAGAAGCTGTCAGCTGGAAGCCAATTGCCCACAGCTGGGGCAACAAGTCCTCCCTTGAAGCAAGATCTAGAAGGCACATCTCCATGTCCCCTCCACATGGCCCCAGGATTGCTGGTGAACATGAGAGACAGTGGAGAGGAGAGTCCCGGGAGGCAGCCTTCCCAGCCAGGCCACCCCAAACTTCTGGTTAGGGATTCCCAGCTTCACAGCACTACGTAAGCTGCTTGCCAACAGATGTTTTGACAACATCTGTTGTCAAAGGTTGACAACAACCTTTGGTCCTTGCGATGGCTTTCTCCTGTGTTTCAAGATGGATTCCTATTGGCATCTTTCATTTCCACCTCTGTTTCACCAAGTTTAGTGACCATTTTCATACATTGGGGCTTAATGTGGTGCAGTGGAAAGTGTAGCAGATTGAATGTGGAAGATCGGGTTCCAGATCTCGTTCAGGAAGTTAGTAGCTGTGTGACCAAGAGCAAGTCGTTCAGCTTTTCTGAGCCATGATTCCTCAGGTGTACACACCAAGTGATGAAACACTTTAAAAACTAAGAAAACAGTGTTTGAAATGCCCCTCAAGTGCTGGTGTTTCCCCAAGGATGTTCTAGACCCTTCACCATTCCATTCATTCATTCATTCATTCATCTATTCGATGATTAGTGTGATCCCTAACTTTTTTATTGTTGTTGTTGAGACGGAGTCTCGCTCTGTCGCCCAGGCTGGAGTGCAGTGGCGCGATCTCGGCTCACTGCAAGCTCCGCCTCCTGGGTTCACACCATTCTCCTGCCTCAGCCTCCCAAGTAGCTGTGACTACTGGCGCCCGCCACCACGCCCGGCTAATTTTTTGTATTTCTAGTAGAGATGGGGTTTCACCGTGTTAGCCAGGATGGTCTCGATCTCCTTACCTCGTGATCCTCCCGCCTCAACCTCCCCAAGTGCTGTGTGATCCTTAACTTTTAATCTACAGTTCCTCTTTTTTTTTTAAGCCAAGTAGATGGGTGATTTTGTTTTCTGCTAATTATTTTGGTATCTTTCATTCCACCTCTGTTTCACCAAATTTAGTGACCGTTTTCATACATTGGGGCTAAATGTGGTGGTCGTTCTCCAGAAGAGTGAGTGTAAGTTCGCTCTTACTTTGAGCAGCTTATCTCTGTTTAGGCGATTTCTTTGTCACCATTAATGGAAGTGTGACACCTTTCTGAGTCCCAAATGTATCGGTTTATCAAAAACCACATCTGCAATGCTGCACCTTGTACTGAGTTCACCTCAGTCTGGTACTTTCTTTGCCTTTTGTCTTGTTTGCCTCCTTGTTAGATTAGCTCCTTAAAACTTTTTCTTTTCATTTTCCACTAAGTCATAACTCTCTAGACTAAATCCTATTAAAGAAACATTTAAAGTGTTTCTTTACTGTGAAGTGTATCATGCATGAAAATAGTGTGTGAAATGGAGGTAGATGTTCAGTTTAAAGACCAATAGTAGAGCAAACGTCTATATACCAACTCCTCAGGTTAAGAAATCCTCTTGTGATATATTTATGCACGTGGAGTAGCTACTTTTTCCAGAATTTGGGGACATGTAATGATGACTGAGAGATCATATAGTCTACATAAAACAGCTCATCATCCTAGAATGAGAAAGAGAGAAACCAGCCAATAAAGAAGGGCAGTGTGTATAGGTACTTACAATGAGAAATACAAACAAGATGGGATTGGAGCCGTTCTCTATGTCTGGGAGAGTTAGAAAAGTTTCCAAGAGGATGAGACTTTTGAAAAGTTTCCAAGAGGATGAGACTTTTTAAGGGATGGTTTGCCTGAGGAAGATGAGCGTTCCAGGTAAAGGGAACAGCATAGCACGTGTAGTGATTCTTCTCCCTCCTCATTCCCCTCTCACCATTCTGACCATTCACCTTCAGTTTCGTTTCCACTCTCCTATCCTCCATAAATGTTGGTGTTCCCATAGGTGTTGCATTAGGATCTCTTCTCACGTCATTCAATTTTCATCCATTCACTTGCTCAATGTCAATGAAGCAATGGGTCTCCAGAAACTCCTGCCTGCAGAACTATCTGTGGAGCTTGGTAAAATGCAGATGGTCCCACCAGCTCAATCAGAATCTTTGGGGTAGGGTCCAGGTATCTTTAGTGCAGATGACTGGGACTCCACATGGAGAAACACAGGTGAACAGGGAGGGTTGGAGAGACCACTCAGGAATCAGTCACAGGTGACCTTGTGCTTCCTGCTACCATGGCTGCCCCTCCCAGCCTGCCTCACCTGTGCCTTTCTCCCTTCTCCCTTCCTGCCTTCAGCTCCTCTGTTGCTTCTTCTTCCTTAAACATCTTCACCGGTTCCTGTGCTATTACAGAGCCCCGTCTGTGGGTCTCATGTCTCTGCTCCATGCCACGCCCTCCCTTGGGCATCATCTGGGCTTTGGCTGGGTCTGTGGAGGGTCCTGGGCTGCAGTGCCATGAACAGTGGAGTGGGGCATGCGAAGTTGACAGTCACACTGAAAGCTCCTGCCTCGCCTCTCTACCTTCTTCTCTTTTGGGGGTTTCTTTCCTGAGGCAGGGAAAAAGAAACAGGAACCCAGACCAAACTGAGGAAAACACGATCAGAGATGAGATGGGGTCAGAGGCAAAGGGCTGTTTGTTGGGTTTGCACTTTCATTACTGAGAGCATTGGAATAGTTTTAAGGCGTGCAAACTGTGAGACTAGACAATTTCACTTAGAAAATGAAACGTGCATGCAGATGTTATTCTCATGGGGATATATATCTGCATCTGTTTGTCTACAAGTGTTCCCTTGCAGAGTCACAGACATATACAAAACCTGGGTTCCATCAGCTTTGTCTGCACATACGTGGCTAAATGTGTACAGGGATGTACAATTAAAGATTTTAAACACTTGATTTTGACAGTATATTTTGCAGCTGCTGTGCCAAGAACCCTAAGCTACTGTGGGTTAATTGGAGTTGTAGCAAGTATTTCTTTCTCGGCTGTCTCTTTTAGCAGAGCTTCTCTCTCTCTCTCTCTCTCTCTCTCTCTCTCTCTCTCTTCCCCTCTCTCCCTGTTTCACCCCTCCCTGCCTGCCTGCCTCTGCCCCTCCCTCCCTCCCTCCCTCTCTCTCTCTGAGATAGCAGACACCAGAGTGAAACTGGTGCAGCTTCCTTTGAGAAGCGTGCTTGCATGTGCGGATTGGCAGGATTGTGTGAGCTCCTCTCCCATCCATGCACTGTTCTTGGAGGGAAATGCAATGTTGGAGCAGGGGCTGAGCTGCACTGGGAAGGTGGCTGGGAGCTCAGTGAGGCCAGGATCATGGTTTAGCCAAAGGCTGGAATCACAAGAATGTTTCACCAGGGTCTGCTCTGAGAGTTCTCAGACCCCCATGGATTTTAGAATTTTCCAGCCTTTCCTCCTTCACCTTCGCACAATTTTACTTTCTCCTGAGATGGCCCCAGATCTGCAAGAGACATTTGAGAGAAGCTATTTATTAGCAGACGTGAAGAAATGGATTCTGCACTTGATTATTTAGCCATGACTTATCAATGATGATGGATTGGAAAGCAGTGTAAGTAACGCAGTTATATATGTTGCTGGAGTTAGGTGGTCTGTTTTCTTGCTATTTTTTTTTTACTTTAACTTTTTCAGTTTCCTTTTGAGAAAAGTAAAAATAAAATGCATAAACCATTTCAAAGAAGTTAGGAGGGTCCAGGTTGTGCAAGCTTTCTTCTTGTTCAATGGACTTGCAGAATACCTAGTTCTATCAGAAGAGACACACAAACTACCGACATAGAAGCTACAAACATCCTCCGGAGGATGGGAATGAAATGGGTAATAAATGAAGAAGGTTTCTGAACTGACAGTCATTGCTATAATCAGGCTTATTCAGAGTTGCTAAAATATTTGACATTGGCTCATATTAGAATCAAAGAACTAAAATGTATTCTCTTTACAGGATCATAAAAATGAAGTTAGCCTGTGGCTTTCAGAGCAGGTTCTTTCTGGCTGCGTAAATGTGAGGGTTTTTGTTTGTTTGTTTGTTTGTTTGGTTTTGTTTTTTAACTAATGTCAAATGTTGACTATGTTTCCTGTCCATTTCAACTTTTCTTGAGGTCGGACATCTCCCTATTCTAGAGTACAATGTCTGGTCACTCTTGGGTTGCAGGCCACTGTCTAGTGGAAAGCTAGTCATTGCTAGTTTATACCAGTCAGAGACTTTTCCATCTTTCTGTGTGAGGGCTTCGTTTAAGCACTTCAATTCCTAAGTATTCAGGGAGGAAAAACAAGTCACTTGAAGACCAAAATCAGTTTATTTCACAAGAGAAAGGAACGGCTATTTAAAAGATGAAAAATTGAAATTTAAAAATATGATCTGCCTTTTCTTCAAAATCTGAAGTGAGGTTAATTTTGTGTAGGAAGAGTAACATAAGCTTTCTTGATTAAAAAGCAGTATTTAGAGGAGGCTTTTAAGATCATAAATCACTTAGGTAAGGTCATCAAAAGAGATGGCTGATATTTTTTATGGTCATTTGCAACTTTTTAAAAAAAGTCCATACGGTAATGTTAATGCAGCTATTTCTGGCTTCTTAAAACTTGCATAGATTTGGAAGTGGGATTTCTAACAATAAGAGTCGTGAGTTTTTCTGAGCTATCATTGCCTTTCTCTGTCTATCACATTCATACCTCAGGCAGAGCTACTGTCCCTCCCACCTGTCCACCCTGCCTGTTTCCCAGCCCCCATCCTTCTCTCTGAGTCTTGGAACATCATGAAAGACTCTTCTGCAGATTTCCTTTTAACATACCCTGCCCAGCCTTGGACAGAGGGAGTACTGTGAAGCAACATGCAGGGCTGCCAATTTTGGAAATGAATGAGCTTAGTTGATTCCTGAATATTAAATCAGTTCTGTGAGCAGTAGAATGAGATCATATCTTACAAACCTGACCCAAAGTGTTCCTAACAACTTTATTAATTGGGGTTTAACATCATCAAGGGCTGTAGCACTGGGCACCCGAGGGGATCAGCCTAAACCCAAATGAAATCCCCAAACTCCACTCGGATTCCTGCTGGCCAAATGCACCTAGGGCCACGCCTTCTAAAATATGTCCTTTGTTATCAAGGGAAATCTGAGACAGAAAACACATGTTGGCAGCATCATGTGAGCGCCTCTCTGCACATAAAGTGGTTGTATCACAAGGGGAAAGCTTTCGATCTTGTGCCGTTTTGTTTTGGTTTCTTGTTTATGTGGACTCTGTTAGACTCCTGCATCTGGAAGAGGCTTGAAGCAGAGTGGAAAACCTAGAGCAAAAATCATGCCGGGGAAAGGAAAATCATTAAAAAACAATGACTAAAAACAGAATAATTTTCTTACCCAAATTCCAGTTCTCATCCTTGTTTTGGGTTCCCTGTTAAAGCAGATACCAGTTATAGCCTTCCTGGGTTAGGGGAGACAGACAGTCTTTCATCATGCCCCTGGATTTTGAGCAAAGGAGAAAGCTTGCTCCAGAAATAGAAAAGAAAAGGCAAAAAGAAACCATCTTTCGAGTTTCTGCTCACTAACAGAGGAAGCAACCCCACCCTCCTCCACACCCTCCTCCACCCCCACAGCTTGTGCCTCTCAACTGCCCCTGGTGGACAGCTCCAACCTGCACCCCCCCCCAACCCCGCCGCCCCCTCTAGAATCTCACGTGTTTTCGTGGAGGACCGAGAGTGCTTTTTAGCAGTGAATGAGCAAAGAGACCAGATATGCTGATACCTGCACATGGTCTTTGAGAGAGGCAGCTGATTGACATCGGGAAAACTGCTGAGCAATTAAAAAAAAATACTAGAGTCAAGGTGAAAGAAAGGAGAGAAAGAGACAGCGAGAGAGACAGGTGGGTTGTCTCTAAAGTTTCAAGCAAAGTTCTGTGAAGCACCTAGCAGGTCAAAACTGATAAGGGCAGATGGTGAAGAAAAGTCTTAAACTGATCAGTGCCTTACACATGGAACGAAGCTTTCATTTCGGCCCGATGTTCTGCCAGAAAGCTTTGCTTGAGATCCACCGCCAGTGTTCTTGCTTTGCTCAACGATCCCACTATGCTGGTATGTTCTCTCTCTGGACAGCCGTCTTTCTAACAACGGGTGCTGTTCTGAAAAGCTGGGAGCCCAAGAAATGTTGTAAAAACCAAGCGTGGCCTTCAGCTGTTGGACCCTGAGGAACAGCACCTGCATTAGGGCCTTGCTCACGTTTCTTACTAGACAGGTTGCCAGCTCTCATTTTTGCCCTTTGTCTGAGCTAATTGGCCTTAGTGTTACATCGGCCCACATTTTTCTCCCTGTAAACTCCATTCCTCCCTCATTTCATCTACACTGCAGAGAACTCTCAAGCTCCTGGTGAGTTTTGCTGCAAAGCCTGTGGCACGCTGAAAGAATGCACCCCTTCCGAACCTCATCTTCCCACTTCTTCCACTGGAGACACTGCGGGGGAGAAACATGTAAATATCGTTAATAACAATGCATCGCGTCCTTGAAAATTGCTGCTAAGAGAGTAGATTGTAAGTGTTCTCACCATAAAAAAGTATGTAAGATAATACATATGTTAATTAGCTCAGTCTAGCTATTCCACAATGTGTACATATTTTAAAACAATGTGTTGTACATGATAAATATATACAACTTCCACTTGTCAGTTAAAAAATAAAAAATAAGTCCAGGCGCAGTGGCTCACACCTGTAATCCCAGCACTTTGGGAGTCCGAGGCGGGCGGATCACTTGAGGTCAGGAGTTCAAGACTGGCCTAGCCAACATGGCAAAACCCCGTCTCTACTAAAAATACAAAAATGTTAGCCAGGCATGGTGGCGGGCGTCTGTAGTCCCAGCTACTCAGGAGGCTGAGGCAGGAGAATCGCTTGAACCCAGAAGGAAGAAGTTGCAGTGAGCCAAGATCCTCCACTGCATTCCAGCCTGGGCGACAGAGTAAGTGAGACTCCATCTCAAAAATAATAATAATAATAATAAAATAAAAAATAGACATTTATATAATGAAGGTTTTTAAAAAAGAAAATTAAAATAAATTTGGAGAATGACCTGTGAAAAATGCCTCTGCAAGTTTTCCTGACCAGAGGAAGGACTTGGCTTCTCTCCTAGACATTTTTTCTCGTATCTTCCTCTAGGAGTCAGTGGAAGAGTGGCGATTAGGTAACATCTGAATGTAGTAGAACCCAGAGCTGTTACCTCCATTTGAGCTACTGCTGGTCATTGCTTGACTTCTATTCTCTCCATCAGTAAAATGCACGCGAAGCTTACCTCATTAGGTTTTTCGAGAATTAAATGAGATAATGCATGGTGCTTAGCTTAGCGTCTGGCCATAGCCTTGATGTCAATACTGTCCTCATGTTCTCCTGTCAGCGGTAGGTCTGTCTCTCAGACACTTTCCAACAGAGGACCCAGATCCTTAATGACAGGGGACCTGGGAAGACAGGGAGGCAATGTCACAGAATGGAAAGCGTGCTCGAGTAGAAGTCAAGACCTGGGTGTTTGAGTCCCAGCTCTGTGCATAACCATTTGAGTGATCTTAAGAAAATGATCACCCCCTCTTCCATGCTACAGCCCTAGATGGGTTACTCCTTACTCCACCACTCTCCTCACCTTGACTCGTGCCGGTCCCTCAGCACGACGGGTCCTCCTCCTGGCTGGCTCCTTTCTTCTCTCCTTCTATGAGACTCCCCTGATCCCCTGAGCCCGAGGGTCAGGGCTTCTCCTCTGCCATCCTATGGCAC
The DNA here is from genome assembly GCF_000001405.40 of Homo sapiens. Taxonomy (NCBI): domain Eukaryota; kingdom Metazoa; phylum Chordata; class Mammalia; order Primates; family Hominidae; genus Homo; species Homo sapiens. The sequence continues at coordinate 245,515,316 of NC_000001.11, forward strand.
CTACATCTCTCCACGCTTACCGTGCAGCCATCACTGTCTGCCTTTCCCACTCGACTGTCATCTCTGTCTTAAAGCTCTGCCTTCGGTGTCAAGACCGGGCAGCACTCAATGAATGTTTCCCGAACGGATACGTAAATGACAGAAGGAATGGATGAAGAGTCCCTGCCCTGCCTCAGGTCTTGAGTGAAGATGAAATGAAATAATGTGTGTGGAAGGCTTGGATGAGTAGAGTGCTGTGCAGTTGCCTTCAGTTTTAAGTTAGTATGAGGACAAAGCATTTTTTATACCAATATTTTAGTTGGTTTCTCAGATACTGAGATTCACACATTTTAGTGAAACAAAACAATATTCTCTTTTATACCATCCTTGCAGTGTGGGCCCATTATTTGTTGTAGAAGCAGGCCAGGCTTTATGTGGGCTAGAACCTCTGATGGTTGAAACTGTGAGCAACAAAACTTTTCATTGCAGAATGACAGGTAAGATTCTGAAAGCCAGTGGCATGGGAGGGCTCGCTCTGTAACTCGGCTTGTCCCAGGGTATGAATGAGGGAGTTCAGATCCCTGCCTGTGAGGGTGGAGAAGGGAAAATGGTTTCTAAAAGCAGAGGAGGAAAGAGAAAGAATCATCATGGAGGCAGCATGGTCAGGGAAGGGGCAGAGGGTGTTGCATCTGACAAAGCTGGGTTTGGACGATAGCCTCATACTTGGGTTTCTGTTGTATCTCATGAGTCCTCTCCCTGGAGGAGTATTTGGATTCTATTCTGCTTCTCCCCTGAGTTTGTTTTCACGGTGGGACTATCCAGGACTAAAGAGAATGGCACCGTATTGCTCTCTCTTTCTGAACCCGGACTTGCAGGCCATATCTGGATTTATCCTTTTTATCAGCAGAATGGTACATTTCCCATAGCAATGCTTGAACTCTGGTCCGTGATGAAGCAAGCTCTTCCATGGTGTTAGAGTCTGTTTTTCCTTCAGAAAATGCTATTTGCAGAACGGCAACAACAAAACGTGTAACAGGAATTGTCCGTTCCCATGGCCAGTCCTCATGTAGAGCCACAAGATGGCGCAGAGGATGACATGAAATCATGTACGCGAGCGTGATTTGCTACTAGGCAGCTCTGTAGGGCTGTATGTATTGATATCACATGCGTCTATATGAACGCCCCGCTGCAGCTGCCTTTGCTATACAGTGAATACACTGTGGGTCTATTATTCGCCTCTTCAGATCCAGCCCAGGAGTTGGTGCAGACTCATTTTTCACTTTCCTTTGACCCTGGGTGTCTCCACAAATGAACCACCTGCTGTGTCTTGGTGGGGGTGGAGATGTGGGGTGAAGTAATGAGCCCGCAAGGCCTGTCTGTGCCTATTGGCTGCTCTAAAGGGAAGTTGAGGAATACTGCAAAGCCACAAATCTGAGATGTCAGCTCATAAATCTGTAAGCTCCTTGCTTAAGTAATACGCTCCTTGACGGCCAAAACTGTCATTTGCACATTCTCTTCAGCTGAACACAAAAGTTCCGGTTACCAGACTGTCCCTGGATACTGGGGACTAAAAGCTGGTGATTGGCGGAGTTTGGGGGTGGGGAGGGGGCGCTGGGCTGATTGCCCTGGCTGCTCCCCACAGCTCCACGGCTGCTGCTTTCACCCCCACCTGACCATGGTCGCAGTGGGGGGCTTTCTCTTGGTATTTAATTAGTAAGTGTAGGCAAACATTTGCATTGTGGCACTGGGATAGGAAAAGAGTTGAACATGAATATAAAAATGGGGATGGGGCCGGGTGTGGTGGCTCACACCTTTAATCCCAGCCGCCAAGGCGGGCAGATCACTTGAGGTCAGGAGTTCGAGACCAGCCTGGTCAACATGGCGAAAACCCTACCTCTACTAAAATACAAAAACATTAGCCGGGCGTGGTGACACGTGCCCCAGCTAGAGGCAGGGAGGCTGAGGCAGGAGAATCACTTGAACCCAGAAGGCGGAGGTTGCAGTGAGCCAAGATTACAGCACTGCACTCTAGCCTGGGTGAGAGAGTGAGACTCTGTCTCAAAAAAAAAAAAAAGGAAATGGGAGAAATAGTTTCCAGCATTTAGCTTTTGGCGACAATGACTAAATCAATACAAATGTTAATCTCTGTTGCATTATGCTTTTGAAACTGTATTGGCAGTTTAGGAAAAATCCAGTCAACAGTTTAATATGAAAATAGAGACCTGTAGACCAAATGGAGGGCAGGAAGCAGATATTTGCCACACAAACATTTATTGAGCGCTTGATGTATTATAGGTGCTGTGTAAAGTTTTGGAGATTCAGAAATGAATCAAAGAGAGGAGTGAACATACAAATTATCCCAACTATAATACCGGTGATAAGCCACAAGGTAGCTCTGCTAGCACGGAACATATGGAAGAGATGAATAATTCTGCTTCGGAGGGAAGGAGTCATATTAGAGTTGGGTCTAGAAGAATGAGCAGGAGGTGGCTGGGAAGGGAGGGCGTTTGGGCAGAGGAATTGGCATGATTCTCTGTGTATGCACAGGACCATGAAAGTGAATGGTGTCATGTAATTTTTTTTTTTTTTTTTTTTTGAGAATGAGTCTCACTCTATCGCGCAGGCCGGAGTGCAGTGGCACGATCTCGGCTCACTGCAACCTCCACCTCCTGGGTTCAAGCAATCCTCTGCCTCAGTCTCCCAAGTAGCTGGGATTACAGACGCCTGCCACAACAATCGGCTAATTTTTGTATTTTTAGTAGAGACGAGGGTTCACCATCTTGGCCAGGCTGGTCTTGAACTCCTGACCTTGTGATCCACCTGCCTCAGCCTCCCAAAATGCTGAGATTACAGGCGTGAGCCACCGCACCCAGCAGGTGTCATGTAATTTTATTCATATTTCCTGATGACTAAGACAACGTATTTTTCAGATTCTCAAAACAGGCAATGATTAGTAATAGATCACCTTAAATAGGATGTTATAATGGTGATGAAGACCAATCACAGCTGCCTGGAAACAGTAGATCATGGGTCAATAATGGGCCCACACCTGGGTTTTGTTACTGAGTCAACCTACGCTACTTGTTCATGTTGTACCTATTTATCTTGAGCTGGTATTAGTATATCCATTTCTAAAAATCCTTGCTTGAGAAGGAAAAACTATTCAGGAGAAAGAAGAGGAGATAAAGTCTAAACAACTTGATTTCACTTGAAAAGTCCTAAGTCGTCCCTTGGAAACTATCTATAGTAAAAAGCATGGGATTTTATACCGTGTTTTAGGCAACTGAAAGGCTTTTTTACAATTGTAGTAAACACTGACTGCCAGCATTCTGGTACCAGTTACTTTATTAAGGTAAATTCCCAAAACTCACAATAGTGGGAAAAAATACTGATAAGCCTTCTAAAACACCAAAGAAGTGTAGAACAACATCTTGGATGCTTTTAGTCACGAGTCAGAACGCCGCGGTGGTTACAGAGCAATAGCATTTCAGAGCTGGGAGAGACCTTAGAGATCATGTATTTTGTGGATTTTCAAATCTTTGAAGAATGATGTTCTGGGTAAGGAAGCTGCTAAGAGTCCATGAGCTAGTTAGTGAGGACTGCTACACTCTTACACACTCACTCCCGGATCCCTTTGTGCATGATTTCTGTCATTCAACCAGTGTTCATAAAGCCCTTGTAACATGGAGGATAAATATTTGAATAAGATACTGGCTTTACCCCGCAGAAGCTTAGAGCTTTGAAAGGAGGTAAGACATATAGGTAAATAATACACATAGGAAGTTATTTTAAAAATATAATGAGAGTTATTAGAGTTCAGAAGATGGAAACTTATTTCCTAGTGAAATGGATGACTGTGTCCTGTAATAGAATATTTACTATATTTAGTAACAGATTTATACAGTCTCATTTGTTTTAGTTAAGAAGTTTGAGTATCCAACAGAGAAAAAAGGTTAGGTAAAAATTAAGTACAGTGAGGCCAGGCACAGTGGCTCACACCTGTAATCTCAGCACTTTGGGAGGCTGAGGCAGGCGGATCACTTGAGGTTAGAAGTTCAAGACCAGCCTGGCCAACATGGTGAAACCCCATCTCTACTAAAAATACAAAAATTAGCCAGGTGTGATGGTGGGTGCCTGTAATTCCAGCTATTCTGGAGGCTGAGGCAAGAGAATTGCTTTAACTCAGGAGGCAGAGGCTGCAGTGAGTCGAGGTGGTACCACTGCACTCCAGCCTGGGTGACAGAGTAGAACCCCATCTCAAAAAAAAAAAAGAAAAGAAAAAATTAAGTATAGTCATGTGTCACTGAATGATGGGGATGTGTTCTGAGAAATGAATCATTAGGTGATTTTGTTGTTGTTTGAACATCATGGAGTGTACTTCCACAAATCTAGATGGTATAGCCTCCTACACACCTAGGCTAGAGGGTAGGACTGTTGCTGTACTGAATAGTGTAGCCATTTGTAACACAATGGTAAGTATTTGTGTCCCTAAACATATCTAAACACAGAAAAGGTACAGTAAAAATAAGATTATCTTATGGGACCACCAGTATATATGTGGTTCGTCCTTGACTGAAACGTTATACGGTGCATGACTGTATTTGGTTTAGCCCATGTTTTTATTTTGAAGAAATGCAGAACAAGTTTAAAATTGAATTGTTGAATTGTTGTCATTAGTTGATAGCCTAATAAGAACATATTGTTCAAGTACAAGAATATCATTGATTTAATTACCCTGAAAATATAATTTTGAAAAATATCTACATTTTTTAAAAATTAAATTTTCGTAGTGTAAACTAAAATTAAATACTCAACTAACTGAGAGAGAGAGAGAGAGAGAGAGAGAGAGAGAGCCCTTCCCCAGCTAGTCTGGCAGCAAGTGATTTCTAAAGGCCAGAAATAGGAAAAAAAAAATAATCGAATCAAATTGACTTTTGGAATTGTCCTTATGAAGCACAAGTCTACAACCTTTAACTCATAGAGAACACAGTGAGCATATCTGCTTTGACTGGCAACTTCAAAAAACCCCTCTCCCAGAGGCTTGGGAAAACACATGTTGGACACAGACTAATGATAATGTGGAACAATTATTACAATGAACACAATAATTGTATTTGTTTTATGAACATGATAGCCTGAAGAAACCCATACCAAGAAATATTTTACGTGTTGTCATCATTAAGAAGTCAGCAAACCTTAAAGACAAACACAATCTATTCATCCATCCATCCATCCATCCATCCATCCACCCATTCATCCATCCATCCACCCATTCATCCATCCATCCATCCATCCATCCATCCATCCACCCACCCACCCATCCATCCATCCATCCATCCATCCATCCATCCATCCATCCATCCATCCATTCTGTAAGTGTTTATTGAGTATCCACTGCATAGCATGCACCATTCCTGGCAGTTAAGAAAATAAAAGGCCTCACTCTCATGGAACTTACATCAGAAAGGGCAATATTAATGATCAGCCCTGACCACATGCCTTTCCCTATTAATGATCAGCCCGGACCACATGCCTTTCCCTTAGGGAACATTGTAGGATGAATGTTCCCTGTGGTCTGAATGTTTGTGTCTCCCTCTAAATTCATAAGCTGAAATCCTAACCCATAAGATGATGTCATTGTAACATTGTAGGGTGTATTTTAGTTGGTGTGGATATGGAGGCAGAAAAGCAAGGATACTGGTGAACCTGGGGAATGCTTAAGAGGTTGGACTGTGCTGTACCCGTTAAAAAGCAATAAACAGGCTGGGCGTGGTGGCTCACGCCTGTAATCCCAGCATTTTGGGAGGCCGAGGCGGGCGGATCACGAGGTCAGGAGATCAAGACCATCCTGGCTAACACGGTGAAACCCCGTCTTTACTAAAAATACAAAAAATTAGCCAGGTGTGGTGGCGAGCACCTGTAGTCCCAGCTACTCCGAAGGCTGAGGCAGGAGAATGGCGTGAACCCGGGAGGCGGAGCTTGCAGTGAGCCGAGATCGCACCACTGCACTCCATCCAGCCTGAGTGACAGAGCGAGACTCCGTCTTAAAAAAAAAAAAAAAGCAATAAACAGAATCTCATGCTTCTATACAATAAAAATAACCATCTTCCCTATAGATGATGAAGAGTCTGTTAATATAATCTGACAGGCTTGTTTTGGAAAATATTTAGATACTTATACATCCAGATATATTCCAAACCATAGCCTTGTAAAACCTCTGAGCTAGCGCAATCCTTGAGTATAAGTCTACCTCCACCTAGACCAATGTTTCCAAACCATTCTGTGGCTGGGAAGACTGGAAGGACCCCCAGGCTGACCCTGTTGGGAAGACATGCAACAAGGCTTACTTCTTCAGTGGTGTCAGTGATTTTGAGCCAGTTCTGACCATCCACTCATCCGTCTGTATTTGTGTAGTGCTCACTATAGACAAGGCAATTTTGGGGAATGCAGTTGTAGGAAAGATAGACATGGCTCCTGACCTTATGAAATGTTCAGTCTTGTGAGGAAGACACAAATAATTACAGCCCATTGTAAGAAGCGGTAAGGTGCTTTTGTACCCTTTTGGTCCATTTTTCTTTTTTTTTGTTTTGAGATGGAGTCTTGCTCTGTCACCCAGGCTGGATGGAGTGCAGTGGTGCGATCTCGGCTCACTGCAAGCTCTGCCTCCCGTGTTCACGCCATTCTCCTGCCTCAGCCTCCCAAGTAGCTGGGACTACAGGCACCCGCCACCATGCCCGGCTAATTTTTTGTATTTTTAGTAGAGACGGGGTTTCACCGTGTTAGCCAGGATGGTCTCGATCTCCTGACCTCATGATCTGCCCGCCTTGGCCTCCCAAAGTGCTGGGATTACAGGTGTGAGCCACCGCGCCCGGCCTGGTCCATTTTTCATCTTGACCATGGACCACGCTGGTAGATGCCTGGGGGCATGAGGGACATAGCAATCAGGCTCTGTCAGCCTTTGTGACCAGCACAACTTATTTCCAGTGCATTAAAGAAAATGATACTGCCTATGCCCAATTTAGATGTGGGCCAGCTGTGTTAGTTAGCTTAACACAGCATTTTGTTTTGCATATGTATTGATTTTGCGCACATGCTCTCTAAGTGCCTCAGAACACTGCCTACAGCATCCTGGTGAGGTTGACAATCAGTTGTCCTGTCCCTGTTCATCTGGCATGGGGACACACTGTCAGAGGAGGAACTACCAAGTAAGTAATTGCCTCCAGCACACAAAAACTGCAGACACATGGTTGACATAAGAATCTAGTTTCAGCTGGTGGTTTTCAGGGCAAAGCAACTGCACTAACAGGAGATTTCCCTGACAGCTGATTTAAGGCTGTGGAAGACCCCAGTTTATCAGCTCAAATTGAGAATGTCCTTTTTTGACTAGAAACGAGACCCTCCCAGCCAACTGCACAACCAAAACTTATATTCAGGATGTCCAGGACCTGAAACTGACATGGGAGTCAATATTCTACAGCCAGTTGTGGTGTCGACAGGGTCTGGGGGAAATCTTCAGAGCTGACTTGTGATGTAGCAGGGCTTACAGCAAAGGCATCCCTTTCACCTTGCTCTTTAGGATTCATATTCTAAGAAGCTGCTAAGAAAAAATGTCTAAACGGAGACACTTAGGATATAGTTTTCATATTAATGTTTTATTTTAACAATAATGGGAGCAAACACCTACCAGGTGTTTACTCTGCGTCAGGAACTGTTCTGATAATCTTATTTGAACTTTGCAACAATTCCATGAGGCTAGCTACTCTTACCATCCTGTTTTACAGCTGGGGAAACTGTGGCACAGGAAAGTTAAGGAACTTGACCATGGCCACAGAGCTCTGAGTGTCAGAAAGAAGATTTGAAACCACACAGTTGGCTTCGCATCCTGTACGCTTGACTATTTCTCTTTTCTGCCTCTCTTGGGAGAACTCTGAAATACTAAAGTACTATATTACTAAATAAATGCTTGCTAAAGCATTTATTTGGTCCCATATTCTCAATTTACACAATTCTTTTCTCCAATCACATTTCATTTTAGACTTTATGAGCCCTGTTGAAGTCATCAGCTTAAAAGTGCCCTTGAGCAATTCTCTACTCTAGATTGAGTTAAACAGAGTATCTGTAGATAATCTAGAATCACAGACAATACCTGTCTTAGTTCCTTTGGGTCGTTATAACAAAAATACCATAGTCTAAATTTATAAACAACGGAAGTTTATTTTGTACAGTTCTAGAGGCCGAGAAGTTAAAGATCAAGAGACCATCAGGTTCAGTGTCTGGTAAGGGCCCACTCTGGTTCACAGATGGTGCCTTCTCGCTGTGTCTTCACATGGCAGAAGGGGCAAACAAGCTCCCTGGGCTCCTTTTTTAAGGGCACTAATCCCATTCACCAGGGCTCCACCCTCATGACCTAATCACCTTCTAAATGCCCCATCTCCAAATACCATCATCTTGTGGGTTAGGATTTCAACTTATGAATTTAAAGAGGGACATAAACATTCAGACCACAGCAACATCTAATTTTGAGCCACCTAACTTTGAAAGAACAAGGATTGATTAATCCAATGTCAGCATACAGTATACCATTAGATGTGAGCCCCTCTTGGCAAACTTGATAAAAGTGTGAGAAAAAAATTACCTAGAAGACTAATAAATACAGAATAGTCACATATAATTTCTGTTTAAAGATTTATACCTTACCAATTTCCCCAAAATGATTTAACACAACTCATTAAATATTTGTAAAATAATTTAAATCTTAAAATATATATTGGGAACCAGTTAGGAGGAGAGAGAAAAAGACACCGGTTCCTAGACCAGCTTGGTTATTGTACTTGGACATTTCTTAGGCTCTGAATTTTATGGACGCTAAGGCAAATGGATCACAAAGGAGTAAAAGATAGGGGAAGGGAACAAAAGCATTTAGTGTGCTCCCACTGTGTGCAGATCATTCTGTTGGCCACTTTCCCATACCTTACGCCCTTTATTCTCACAACAGACCCTTGAGGTAGTTACCGTTATTTTCATCCACATCAAAGTATGTGGCAGAGGCAGGATTTGAACCAAGCCTATTTGACTCCAAAGCCTGTATGTATTTTTTTACTAGGTTTAGGTTTTATTATTCTTACCCAATAAAGTGACATATGATTTGTCTGGAGATACCTAGTCTTCCTTTGAGGATTTTTTAAAAAATGGATCCCTATGTAGAGAACATTGGGTAAAATCATAGTAACCTATGAAAAGTAGGTATTCAATCAATGTTTATGGAATAACATGAGTAAATAAATGCATGGATAATAAGATGAAGGATATCTTCTTTAATTTTATAAGCTAAGTAACTGTTTTTTGTAAATGCTTCTATGTTAACTATTAACCTCTATAAAAAACAAAGCCATATCTTAGCTTCATAATTCAGTCTAAGGCAGTTAGGTAAATACTTAACAATTTAATATTTTATGTTTTTTTCTTTCATAGTTTAATTTCTCAAAAGAATAGCCGAGGCCCCCCTTATCTTTACTTCTTCCACCCCTATTTACTTCTCAACCCACTGAAATGTGCTCCGTGTTTCCTCTGATTCTGTTCAAGGTCAATAATGAACTCATTAATTCTAATCCAAGGGACACTTTGCATTCTCTGTCTTTTTTGGTCTCTCAGGGGCATTTAACATTCTTAGCCACTTGTTCCGTCTTCCTCTTTACCTCTCTGGCTGCTCCTTTGTAATCTTCTCTTTTATATTCACTCATGAAGTATTGAGGATTTTCATGGATCTGTCACGGGTTGTGTTCTGCTTGCCTTCTACTCTGCACCTCCCTGGGTCATCTCATCCACTCTCATAACTCCAGCTGCCAGCTTCATGCAGAAGACTCTCAAATCTGAAAACTGGGATCAACTATTTTTTATATCCAAATACTCTAAATGAAGATCTAAGCCAAGACTGTCTATCTTGAAAGTAAGTTATTTCTGTCTATGGAGGCAAAGGCTCACGTAGGAAGTGAAGAATCTTATATATTTCTAAGCCATTTCTTGGCAGTCAGTCACGTATTAGGAGTCAGTTCTGTGTGTTTTTAAATACAGCATTGAACGACTCAGTGTTTGTTGTTATTAGTGATTTGTTGGACAGGATAGAGAGAAAGCACAGTTATTTAAAGATAAAGTGTTTGTAGCCCTTCTCAATTGAATAGCATACATACAGATAAGATGTCTGTGAAATTTTAATAGAAATCAATGTGAAATAAGATTCAATTTATAAAATCTCAAATTACAGGCAACTTGTCAAAGCCTAGCTGTTGTGTAAACGTGGGAATTCACACAAGGAAAAGATGATTGATTGGTTGATTGATTATATAACATGAGTTACATTCTATCCAATTGCACCTGAATATATTCACAGACGCAGCTGGATGGCTCTGATTTAGAGAACAAGTATTTTCTTCTTTTCACACAATCTGTTCCTAGAAGCGCCATCAAAACATAAATATTATTTTCTCATAATAATATAAGGCATAGTGATTTTATTCTTAGCCAAGGATTTAGTGTTGTAGAATTAGTTATAATTAACAATGTGTTAGTAAAGTTGAGATAGTATTTTAAACCTATCTGAGTACTTAAAATAATGTAATTTTGCTCCAGATTCTGCCAAAAAAAATGGAAATTATTTAACCTAGGATTCTAATAACTAACAGTATCCATAGCATTAAAAATTACCTTTACATATTGTAAATGTCACCTGCCTACAAATAACATGTCCATTAAAGTAAACATTACTTAAATATGCAGCTCAACAGGGCCTGGTTTCTTTACAATTAACTAGAAAATTTGAACTAAATCTTCCTGAAGATTTCTTCTCTATTAAAAACAAAAGCTGCCTCCTTTCCTTGCTTCACAGCTTTTTGGACCTGCCTGTGATGAGTGTCCTTTATTGCCCAGTGTAATTTTGCCATGGTTTTTAGCAATCTGCAAACACTCCAGCCCAGGTAACCTGACGGTAGCATAGACAGGAAAGGAGGGGATGTGAATTTCTGCCTCTCTGCCTCTAGTGGGGCTGCTAAGGTACCAGCCATCTAAACATCTGCCCAGGTCTTGGTGCAGTCCAGCTTTTCAGCAGAGTCAAGGGCAGAAATTCTGCCCGACTTCTGTGTCTGGTACCTATTTGTACAATGCAGAGGTCCCATGCAAATTGTTTTCCTTTGAAATAACCTTAATGATTTCTTCAGGTTTCAACTACAGTAAATAATTTGTTAAATAAAAATATTAGAATGAAAGGGGGGAAAAGAAATTACTTCCTCTAGCAAATGAGACTCTTAAATTCAAATTTAATTAACCAAGACGCCCCCAAACCACAGAGCATGTCACCCAGCGTTGACAATTAATTAGCTTTGCTCTGAAAGAGCTACAGGTACCCAGCAAAGAGTTACGGATTAAAGGCTTTACTCGCTCTGCGAAGGCTGCCCATTTCTAGCTATCACACCTTGATAGTGGTTTGTTGCTTCAGGCAACAAATTACATCTGAAGTGTGTGATTTCATGTCCGTTTTTAATTTCACACAATTGAAATATGGGAAAAGTGAAAATAAAGCTCTACTTCTTTTCAAAATAAAGCTCTATTTCTTTCAAAATAAAGACATTAAAAGTGAACAACACTACTTCTTTTCGGTTTCTCATGCTGTTCAAGATAATTTTCTATCAAACGGTGAAGGAAGATAAATACTAAGGAAAACTCTAAAGGAATGAGTGGTCACTCTTGGCTTTTAGGCGGGCTCTCTGTTTATGGTAGACCATTCAGCTTCTTCCTTTTAGCATTAAATTAGCATATGTATAAATGATTTAACTAGAAACTTGGAGCTAGCATCTAAAAGGCAGCATGGTGTAATGAAAAGAACATTAGATTCCTTCGATTCTTGAAATCAGATTATCTGGGATATGCTTATCCCTTGAAGGAATCTTAATTTTAGTTGGATAGTCCTTAAACTAGAAAAGATATACGTACATATTTTATAGACAATTGCTTCTCAGCCGAAAAATCAGGCACTGACATTCCATGAGGAATGGACTTTAATTAGCCGGTGATTGTCTTTCTCTGTCTATATTTATAGGCAACCGAAATAGCTGGGTTGTAGGTACATGGTTTCATCAATTCCATTTAATAAGACCAGCCAGTTCACTATCATTCATGTTCATGAAAGATAGGAATAACGTCAGTTAACTAAAATCATTTATATCTGGCTTTGGGATGGCTTTTTTTTTTTTTTTTTTTTTTTTTTTGAGATGGAGTCTGGCTATGTCGCCCAGGCTGGAGCGCAGTGGCGTGATCTCGGCTCACTGCAAGCTCCACCTCCCGGGTTCATGCCATTCTCCTGCCTCAGCCTCCCGAGTAGCTGGGACTACAGGCGCCTGCAACCACGCCCGGCTAATTTTTTGTATTTTTAGTAGAGACGGGGTTTCACCGCATTAGCCAGGATGGTCTCGATCTCCTGACCTCGTGATCCACCTGCCTCGGCCTCCGAAAGTGATGGGATTACAGACGTGAGCCACCGCGCCCGGCCCGGGATGGCTTTTTAATGCATGTTTAAATGGATCTGGTGTCTTAGGTGTTTACAGTTCTTTTAATTTATGTATTAAGCCCAGTTTCCATAATTGCATACTAGGTGGAACTTAGGAAAAGGCAAGAAGCTATTAAGTTTCCCTGGTACTAAGCAGGCCTGGGGGTGGGCAGATCAGGCCAGGAACATAAAGACCTGCAGTCAGGGAGCATCCGATAAGAACGGATTGATGGTCAAAAGGTCAGCTGGCACAGGGAAAAGTACGTGTGCACCTAAGTGCAGATGAAAAAGAAAGATCCACCCACACTGGCGCCGAGGCTTGCAAGTGGATGTCTGGCAAGCAAGCAGAAGCCGAGATGCAGATCAGGAAGCTAAAATAAAGAAGCTGGGGCATCTGGGAAGACCGAGACCCAGGGCTCCGCACAGGCTAAACAGCAGGAAGAAGAGCGAGTAGAATTGGGGTATAGGCGTGGCCAGGTCATCAGTTACCCAGGTGCACGGCGGCTGTCAGGAGGTCAGGCAGCAGGCAAAACTCTGTTCACAGGTAGGATAGTGTGAGGGATCCTGCCCGCTGTGCTTTCTCAAGTAGGGACTTTTTACCTCTCATTGTCCAACGTACTTCTGCTTTTCTCCTCCCTGATGAAGATCTTGTGACTGTGTACTGGCAGGTTGGAGCCCACCCCTCCAGGACAGCAGGGAGCAAAGGAAGGGTAGCTTTGTAGGTGTGGGTGGAGATAAATATTCATGCATGGGCAATGAAGCAGCTCTAAGCTATGGAATCACATGTCAACCCATATGTCACGTGGCATCAAAGGCAGTTTATACATTGGTAAAATGTTCCTTTGAACTTTTCTATTCCACAGGAATTGGGAATAAGTTTTGGGTTATTTCATCTTCCAGTGTCCTTAAAAATGTGGAGCATGCTCTCTCTTAAAAATATGAATGGTTGCTGTGGCTTAGAGCAAGTCGCCACCTTCCCGAGGTCATCCAACTCTCAGAAACAGAACTTCTCTGTTTTAATGAGTGTTTTTCTCTAGATCTTGACCTAGAACTTGTTGTCTAGGCAGTATCTGGGTCTGACTTACTAGGTTTGCTGGACAGACAGAAATAGAAAAGTGCAATGAGACAATCGATATGTTCTTAGGTGCCCACAGAGTGTGGCACCAACTTGTCAAGTTCTGGACAAAATTAGATTCATTAGTGCAGAAGTCCTCAACCTTCTCTTGGGTCCTGAAGCCCAGCTTTTGCAGATGGCGTCTTAGTCATTAGTAAGGCCGCTCCATCGGAGTCCCCGTCATACAAAATATTAAAGGAAGCTGTGAAGATCGGTTGCAGTGTCTGCTATCCTGCTGTCGTCTGGCCAGAGGTGAGCCGAGACTGTGGGGCAGCGGGGTACTGAGCAGCTGCTGTATAATGAGCCGAGAGGGGTTAACCCCTGGCAAGGCAAGCAGAAGAGTCATTCTTAACATGCTTAGAATCCCAATATTCATTGCAGCAGCTTCACCAACCCTGAAAAACCACAGCATCAGATGGTTTCTTAGTAAATACACTTATCAGAAACAGAGGCAGAGGGTGCTTCCCTTTGAACTTCTGAGACAAAAGCCCCCAGCAAGGCATGGATTCTGCCACCGACGGAGTATTTATTTGGTCTTTCTAAAATCCAGATCTCTGCAGCCAGGAAATAACAAACTCTTGCTTTGTACTTCTGTTTAGCCTTCCATGCCAATGACTATTTTTTTAATTAAATATTTTCTGCTTTATTTTTGTGTACAAAAGTGTCTATTTTCACACAGGGAACTTGGCTCAGCAAACATTCGTAGTTACTTGGCTTTAAACAAAGGAGAAGGTTTTACATTGAATAGCTTTTATTTAAAAATTGGTTTATACTATCGAAAGGAAACATTGAGGAAACCCCCCAGGGCATTTGGACTGGGCACAGATTTCTTGAGGAACACCCCACAAGCACAGGTAACCAAAGCAAAAACGGACAAATGGGATCACATCAGGTTAAAAAGCTGCCGCACAGCACAGGAAACAATCAACAAGGTGAAGAGACAACCCACAGAATGGGAGAAAATATTTGCAAACTATCCATCTGACAAGGGATTAATACCCAGAATATATAAGGAGCTCAAACAACTCTATGGAAAAAAAAATCTAATAATCCAATTTAAAAATGGGCAAAAGATCTGAATAGACATTTCTCGAAAGAAGACATACAAGTGGCAGACAGGTACATGAAAAGGTGCTCAACATCATTCATTGATCATCATAGAAATGCAAATCAAAACTACAATGAGATTATCATCTCACCACAGTTAAAATGGCTTTTATCCAAAAATCAGGCAATAACAAATGCTGGTGAGGATGTGGAGAAAAGGGAACCCTCATACACTGTGGATGGGAATGTAAATTAGTACAACCACTGTAGAGAACAGTTTGGAGCTTCCTCAAAAAACTAACAATTGAACTACCACGCAATCTAGCAATGGTAGTACTGGGTATTTATCCAAAGGATAGGAGGTCAGTATATCAAAGAGATAGCCAAGCTCCCATGTTTATTGCAGCACTATTCACAATAGTCAAGAGTTGGAAGCAATCTAAGCATCCATCAATAGACAAATGAATAAAGAAAAGGTGGTACATATACAGAATGGAGTACTCTTCAGCCATAAAGAAGAATGAGATCCTGCCATTTGCAACAACATGGATGGAACTGGAGGTCATTATGTTAAGTGAAATTAGCGAGGCCCAGAAAAACAGACTTCACATGTTTTTATGTGTGCTGCCCAGATGACACAATTCAGGAAAATCTTTCAGCTCCTACCAGAGAGTAAAGCTCTTCAGCTGTAGTGGGTTTACCTGCTGTGTGTCTTCAGGCTTCTCCCAGTTCTTTATCTCTGCTGTGGAGCCAATATAAAGTTATCAATAACATTTGGTGGTGTAGATGCTTCTCATCTGTGCAATTTAGGAGTAGACTCTAATACAGAGCAGCTGCTGGGTGAACCAAAGATGGCTTTAGTGATATTTATAGCTTATTGATTGCATAGTTCTTTGTCTGTGATTATCATTCAATAAATACTGATGGACTGAGTTTCCCGGAACACTGAGATTCGTTTTAAGCAGCTTCCAGCATTCTTTCTGTGTATGTGGGGGGAGGTTCAGGAGGCAGTAGAAGGTGGCCATAATAATGTTGTCTTGTGGTGGTAGTAGTTGTTATAATTTCCCTTTTATATCCTAATTCTGGCCACGACCTAACTCACTGTACTGAGACATTTTCCCCCTATAATATGGAGATATGTTGCTAAGCAACCAGATCAGTAATTGGTAAGTGCTTATGTATAATATGATTTGATTTGAGTTACATACAAAAATATGTAAATGGTTTTTTATCTTCATTATTAGATAAATGATTATCATTTGGTTTTATTTTGCCCAAATAAAATAACTGCTTTCATTTACCAAAATTAACATGATGTAGTAGAAAGGCCTTGGATTTAGAGGATGGAAACACGAATGCAAGTCCCAGGTCTGAGAGTCAGCAGCCCTGTGGCCATGGCTAAAGTCAGGGAACTTGCCAGGCCTCGTTCTTTTTTTTCAACCCGTAATGTGTGGTACAAATACCTTCTCTGCTGGCCTCCCAGGGCCAGGTTAAGGATGGATGTGATGATGTATAGAAAATGTTTTAAGAAAAAAAAAATCCAAGGTCTAAGCATTGTCTAGAATTCCAGGCTACTTAATCTTGGAACTCTGAGTCTGTTAGTATAATTCCAAAGGCTGGATTGACTAAGAAGTACTGTCCTCCAGCAGGGCACAGAGCCATAGGGCAGGTCTGCGCCTATAGAAGAAAGTAAACACATGGCATGGACCCTGAATAAGTGAACAGTGCAGTGATGGTGGCGAGGCAGAAGCAAAAGGCCACATGGTCAAGCACCCTGTCATTAAGCATTAAAACATAAGATAGATCATCTCAAGACCAACTGCTGGCCAGGTGCAGTGGCTCACACCTGTTATTCCTGCACTTTGGGAGGCTGAGATGAGAGGATCACTCGAGGCGAGGAGTTCAAGACCATCCTGGGCAACAAAGTGAGTCCCTGTCTCTACACAAAAAACCTTTTTCAATTAGCCAGGCATGATGGGGCACACCTGTAGTCCTCGCTACTCTCTAGGATCACTTCAGCCCAGAAGTTTGAGGCTGCAGTGGGCTATGATCATGCCACAGCACTCCAGCATGGTGACAGAGCCAGACCCTGTCCTTAAGAAAAAAACAAAGCAAACAACAAAAAGACAACTGCTATAAGACTTCAAGGGGAAGGACAATGATCCACGGGGGCTGAAGTCACTGATGAGGGCAACTTCTACAAGTCCTTGAAGCATAGGAAAATTCTTTTTTCTTTTCTTTTCTTTTCTTTTCTTTTCTTTTTTTTTTTTTTTGAGACAGAGTCTTGCTCTGTCGCCCAGGCTGGAGTGCAGTGGCGCGATCTCGGCTCACTGCAAGCTCTGCCTCCCGGGTTCACGCCATTCTCCTGCCTCAGCCTCCCGAGTAGCTGGGACTACAGGCGCCCGCCACCATGCCCAGCTAATTTTTTGTATTTTTGGTAGAGACGGGGTTTCATCGTGTTAGCCAGGATGGTCTCGATCTCCCGACCTCGTGATCCGCCTGCCTCGGCCTCCCAAAGTGCTGGGATTACAGGCGTGAGGGGAAATTTTTAAGGGTAAATTCACAGCGATGATTTCCATTGGTTAACTCTGTGCATTAACATGCAAATGTCAATCCATTTCCAAATGATAACAGTGCCTGGCTGTAGTATTTTAACATGATATTGTTTGAGGCTAATGGCCACCATGTTTGCCTCCTAGCAGTAAACATGTTATTTGAAGTCATGTCATGAATTACCTTCCTGCACTAATGAAATAGATAATTTACATAAAAATCAGGAAAAAAAAAACCCCAGCCCCATATGCTTTTCAATCTCTAGAGCCATGGAAATGACCTCCCTGACAGCCAATTAGAAAATACAAAGGTGAAGGT
Source organism: Homo sapiens (assembly GCF_000001405.40). Classification (NCBI taxonomy): domain Eukaryota; kingdom Metazoa; phylum Chordata; class Mammalia; order Primates; family Hominidae; genus Homo; species Homo sapiens. Next base: position 245,532,862 of record NC_000001.11, read on the forward strand.
GGATGCTCTTATTCCCGATACGGAGAAGTTCCAGAATGACTAGCGTGCTTCTTGGCTATGCCCAAATACTTTTAAGTAGGTGTTATTTCATAATAAAGCATTAATGGTGTTTGTTACATGTGGATGAATATCTTCACTGTGTCTGGGAGCTCTGCCTCAGAACGTAGGATCTTGTTCCCTATCCCTGCTGTTTATAATCTGTTTTATTACCTTCTCCCACTGTGTCATGGACCGGATGGTTTTTCTAGGGGCTGCTGTGATCTGTCTTGTCATTGCTTATTATCAGATAGCCTTAATCCTCAGAACATTGAAATAGTTCTATAATGGCACGTGAGCCATGGCAGCCCACAGCAGCACTGGCCATTTTCACATGAAATGGCAGCCTGGATTGTCCTTTACATGCTGACAGGGGAGACTGTCCATCTGCCACCCCTGTCCTGGGTCGGGACCCTTTCTGTTCAGCAGGTGCAGTGGCTCTGAGAGTCTCACAGTTTTTCAGTTGATATCTCACCCATCAATTACCTGGGTTGGATTTGTAGAGCTCGAATGACCTCTTAAATTTTATAAACACTTTACCCACCTATTTGAGCATCCCACACTTGAGCACCCCTCAGACAAGATGAAATATTCTTAGGATAGGGTTAGGAACACACAGTATTCCTGAAACTTTTAAAGATATAGAGGTCCTTAAAAATTACCATATTGCCTGATTTTCCTGTCTGTGCCCCAAGGAAAGTTCTATTCTTCATGAAGCTAATAATTTTTAAAAGATTGCTAGGTCAATATTTTAGTAATCTTTAGACACTAAGGATAGGAGATTTCAATTTAATTCTCATGAGATGCACTTAGAATGACGGGTTTTCCATTTGAACACCCTGCAGTTCTCACAATCCAGGGTAATAGTCTGACAAATAGTCTATTATACAATTACAAAAAAAAAAAAGTCAAAATCAAGTTCCCCCTCTAATCTACATAATTGAGACCTAAGACTTTCCCTGCACTTAAAGCCATTGAATCCACCAGATGAGTGTGGACCTCATTTTTTTAGGTTTGGGTAGATCTGGCCAATGAGAGCAAGTAACCATCCTATGTGAAGTTCATTTCAGTTCTAAACTGATCCTTGAATTCAGATATTGTCATATTGATGCATTAGGAGAATTGTCTTGGGTGTGAGATGAGTGAGGCTATGGAGAGAAAGGACTGGCACTCAGAGGGAAGACTGAGCTTACTGGGACATTCTAGCCAAGGACAGGCTACTGCTCTTCTCCTCACTGCCTGATAATGCTCAGTGTGGCACCACTTTTTTTTTTTTTATTTCTGAGACAGAGTCTCGTGCTGTCCCCCAGGCTGGTGTGCAGTGGCGTGATCTTGGCTCACTGCAACCTCTGCCTCCCAGGTTCAAGCAATTCTCCTGCCTCAACCTCCTAAATAGCTAGGATTACAGGTGTGCGCCACCATGCCCAGCTAATTTTTGTATTTTCAATAGAGATGGGGTTTCACCATGTTAGCCAGGCTGGTCTTGAACTCCTGACCTCGTGATCTGCCTGCCTCGGCCTCCCAGAGTGCTGGGATTACAGGTGTGAGCCATCGCACCTGGCCCACTTTTTGTTTTTTTATAGGTGTTCAGGAAATATTAATTTCATCCTGCTAGAGAGACTTTTTCCTTGAAATAAGGCACAGATAATTATATGAAGCTAATGGATGTTTAAAGATGTATGCTGGGATAAATAGCTTTAGGAAATATATTGTACTATCCTTGGTAAGAATAAGACAAGTAGTTTTTAAGTTATGGTAGTTTTTAAGTTAATTTTTCTGCTACTGGAAATCTTATAAAACAACCCATTCATTTTTTCCTATGAAAGAAAGAACTTATCAGGCATTAATTACATAAAATATACTTCTAATCAAAATGTCTTTACCTTTTCTTTTTTTTTTTTTTGAGATGGAGTGTTGCTCTGTCACCCAGGCTGGAGTGCAGCAGCACGATCTCGGCTCACTGCAACCTCTACCTCCCAGGTTCAAGCGATTCTCCCACCTCAGCCACCCGAGTAGCTGGCATTACAGGCATGTGCCACCATGCTCGACTAGTTTTTGGATTTTAGCTGAGATGGGGGTCTCACCATGTTGGTCAGGCTGGTCTCGATCTCCTGACCTTAAGTGATCCACCCACCTCGGCCTCCCAAAGTGCTGGGATTACAGGCGTGAGCCACTGCACCTGGCCGTCTTTACCTTTTCAATTCTCTCATGACTGCCTCTCCTTTATGTCCCTAAATAATACAATTATACGTGAATGATTTCTCAACCTTAACCTTCTCTTCTCTGTGTCATTGAAGTGCTATATGAAAAGAACTGAAGCTGCTGACCTCTAAGACATTGGAATATATAAAAAAAGATCAAACAGCTGCTTATAATGATGTCAAAGATAAAATGCTATTATAGAATCTATGGCTGTAAAAATGTGATTTATATTAATTTTTAGTATTCTGAAAATTTCCTGATATATTTATTTTATACACACATTTTAAGAAAATAATTTTATATGCATTCTCAAGATGACTTCCTCTATCACTGTTTTTCTGCATTGAAGCCAACGGAGGCTTTCCTAAATGGAGTAGAGTCCAGGAGTCATTGCAGAATCTCTATACTGGAAATCATTCTGGTTCCCCACTGCACGCATCCCTCTCCCTCGTATTCCTGGTAAGCAGTTTTCTACCCACCATTTGGATATTTTCAGTGACAAAACACACTCACTATTTTATGAAGCCAACACATCACTAGTGGGTTATTCCAATTTTGAGAGAAATGTCGCTTATACTTATCAAGCTAAAGATGCTTTTATGTTTCACCTGCTGCTTTGGTACCTGTATTACATAGGTTTAACCCCTATTCAGATACAATACGGTACAATACAGGACACATAGGCCTAGATTCAGCCTTGGCTCTACTACTTATTATTTATTATATTCTTTCAAAGGATCATTGATTAGTGTACTAAATGCTTTACATGTACTGTCATTAAATTCTCATAAAAAGTCTAAAAAAGTAGGTATTATTTTTGCTTCATCTTCCTATGTGGAAACTGAGGCTTGATAATAATATTTATAATAGTGATGATGATGATGATAGCATTGTCATGTGCCAACTGTGTTCCAGGCACTGTGCTTGGGCCTTTATAAACATTATCAGAATTTAGGTAACTTCCCTAAGATTATCTACCTAGCATCTAGGAAGCTGGATGTTCAAACTAAGTCAGAAAGGCCTCAGGATTTAACTGCCTTGAGCTTCACTTGTTTGTCTGTTAAATGGGGGTAATATTGTTCTCCTCACGAGGGCTTCTGAGATTCAAAAAAATGGCTTATGAAAGTATCTGGCATCCTTGCTTGAAAGATACTTCCACATGTCATTTATTCATTTCTTTAAAGAGAGCTTTCTTGAAAGACTCTTTCCTTCCTCTTTCTCCAGGTTTCTTTTCTCCAGGCTAAATATCCCCAGCTCCTGTAGTCTTCGTTCATTCATTCAAAACATACCGTGAGCTCTCTTCCCTGGTAAAATTTACATTCTAGAGGGGAAACAGACAGTAAAGCAATAAACATGGTAACCAAGTAAAGCATCTGCTATGTTACAAGATAATAGGTGTCATGGTTGTGAACAACCAAGATAATGGAAATTAGGAGTCTGGGAGTGAGTGGTGTTTTATTGACTGTGGCTGTGTGACAAATTACCCCCAAAACTTAGTGGCTAAAAGCAGCAATGATCATTTATCATCTCTCGAGGTTTCTGGGGGTCTAAAATTCAGATAAGACTTAGTGGGTGTGATTTATCTCTGTTCCATGATGTCTGGGACCTCAGGCAGAAGACTTGAAGGATGGCATCTGGAATCCTCTAAAGGCTCATTCCTTCATATGTCTGGCAGTTGATACTGGCTGTCTTCTGGGGTCCTCAGTTCTTTTCCACTTGACCCTCTCCATGTGACCTGGGCTTCCTCACAGCATGGAAGCTGCGTTCCCACGGTGAGTGTCTCAAGAAAGGAAGCCAGGGAGAGGCCATTATTGCCTTTTGTATCCAAAGCTCAGAAGCTCTACAGCATCACTTCCATTACATTCTGTTGGCCAGGGCAATTTCAGAGTTTTGCTTGGGTTCAAGAAGGAACATAGACGCCCACCTCTCAAGGGGAGAGTATCAGTGTCAGGTTGTAAGAAGTGCCTGTGGGAGACACATGGATGCAGCCATCTTTGGAAAGGACTGTCTGCCATGATGGGCAAGGTAGGTTCACGGATAAGGTAACATTTGAGCGAAGATTTAAAGGAGATGAGGGAGTGAGCCATATGCCCATCTCCATCTCGGCAGAGCATTCCAGGCTGACTCAAGAGCCTGTGCAAAGGCCCTGAGATGGGGATTGGACCAAGAATATTTGGAGGCTAGGATGACTGGAGCAGAATCATCAAAGAAGAGAGTAGTAGGAAAAGTGGTCTGAGGGATATGGGGGGAAGGGACAGACCACGTAGGCTTTATAGGCCACTGCAAGTACTTTGGCTTTTACTCTGAGTGATATGGAGAGCCAAAGGGAGGGCCTTGAGCAGACTTAAATCTTAAAAGAGTTACTCTGGCTCCTTTGTGAATAGGCAGGTGGAGAGCGAGTACAGAAGATGGCAGACAAGTTAGGAGACTGTGGCAGCAATTCAGCAAGAGAAGTCTGTGGCTCTGACCAAGATGGTAGTAAAGGTGGTGAGAGGTGATGGGATCACAGATCTACTTTGAAGTTTTAGCCAACAAAACTTCCTGATGGATTATGTGTGAGAAGAAGACAGGTCAGCATCGAAGAAGTCATTGGAAGGATGGAATTGCCATTTTCTGATACAGGAAATGCTGAATGTGTAACAGCTTTGCAGGAAAAACATCAGGACTTCAGTTTTAGGGTTGGCAAGCTTGAGATGTTTATTAGATATCCAAGTGGAATTGTTGAAGAGGTAATTAGATACATAAATAAGGATTTCCAGAGAGGGATCTAAGCTGGAAATAAAAATTGATTAATCATAGGCATTAAGGATGTTATTTAAATCATGATCCTGGAAGAAAACACCAAGGGATTGAGTGAAGCAGTAAAGAGGACAAGGACTGAGCCCTGAGGCCTCCATCGTTAAGAAGCTGGGCAGAAGAGAAGGAACCAGCAAAGGAAACTGGAAAGGAATGGCCAGGGTGTCCTAGAAACCGAGCAGAAAGGGTATCAAGGAGGAAGGACCTACTCACTGCTCTGAGAGGTCAAGATGGGGCTGAGAACCATTAACTTGAGCAATCATGGTGGTCATTGGGAACCCAGACAAGAGCAGTTTCAGATGAGTCATGGGACACATGCCTGAATGGAATGAGCTTATAGATAATGGAAGGAGAGGGCCTGCAGAAGGCCAGCACAGACAACACTTTCCCTGAGTTTTGCGGCCAAGATGGGCAAGGAAGTAGAACAGTAGCTGGCTGGGGAAGAATCAGGAGAAGGATTTGTGTTTTATGTTTTAAGATGAGAGAAATAACAACATGTCTATGTGCTGTTGGGAATGATCTAGTAGCGTGAAAGTTTGTAGGAGGGAGAGGGAGGAGGGAAACCTTGGAGGGATATCCTGGGGTGTGCTTTACTTTCAGGGATCCTCGCTTTTCTCCTCAGCAGGGGATGTGTGGGGTGGGCCTGGGTGGCAGAGATAAGAAAAAGGAAAAAGCCATGAGGCTACTGCCCGTTCTAAGCTGCCTTTCAGTATCACTCCCTTCCCCTGTCTGTCTCTCCATGTGGACTGGGAACCCCAGCAGGTAGGGGAGTGGGAACCATAGCCATTGCCTGGTCCTTTTTACACTGTGAAAAGGAACCTTGAATGTAGATGGATAAACACCATCTTTTAGTTCCTGGCAGATCACTGTCTTCCTTCTTGTTCTAGTCCTCTGAGACATAGGCAGGCTGGCTTGAGAGCAGGGAGGGATCGCTGAGCAGAGGTGTGTGCGGGTGTTAGAAGGTGCCATGATGCCTTGTGCCAATGACTGACCTGGGATGAGTCACTGTTCATTTAGGGAGAGAATTTCAAAAGGAATGACTGGTCATTGAATAATTCCATTTCACCCTTGATTTTAGAAGGAAAGTGCCAGGAAGGGTAGCAATGAGATGAAAAAAAAAGTATTCCTAGGTTTTTCTTTTCACTGATTGAAAAGAAAGTGTCCCGTGCCTTCCCTTTCTCATCATCCTACAATAGGGTGACTTAGGGTATCTTCCCATCAAAATCAGTAATTCCTCACATATCTCTTCCCCCTGTATTTCACTCTTGTGAAACAGATTTTCAGTTTTACAGATGAGAACAATTAAGCTTTGAAATGGTAACACCATTTGCTATATTTGTGCAGTGGCAATTTTTTAGCTCAGAATTTATCAAAAGCATGACACTTAATGATACAGAATTAAAACCAGCTATCCCAGACCATTGAAGGAGACCGGGGTCGGGGAGGGAGAGGCGGTGCAAACGGTGTTGCTTTTGTCTTTCTGACCTGCTTCTCTCGTGATGTGTTCTGCAACTGGTAAGAACATTGGATGAATTATAAGATTTTAATCAGTAGAATAAAGTCAGGGCGGTCCTTTCATTTTAAGCAGCAGCTCAAACATTTGATGAGGAAATTAGAATCCTTAGAATAAGAGTTTAGTGTGTAAACATCAAGAATTCATCCAGAAATGAGTATATTAGAGTCTGTGAAATGCCTTCGCCTCACACTGCCCCTTCCCCTGTTTTCTTCTTCTTTTCTGTGATAAGATGATCATGGATTTGTTTTGTTTTTCTTTTGAGACGGAGTCTCACTCTGTCACCCAGCCTGGAGAGCAGTGGCGCTATCTGGGCTCACTGCAACCTCCGCCTCCTGGGTTCAAGCGATCCTCCTGCCTCAGCCTCCCGAATAGCTGGGATTACAGGCATGCACCACCACACCCGGCTAATTTTTGTATTTTTAGTAGAGATGGGGTTTCTCCATGTTGGCCAGGCTGGTCTCGAACTCCTGACCTCAGGTGAGCTGCCTGCCTCGGCCTCCCAAAGTGCTGGGATTACAGGTGTGAGCCACCGTGCCTGGCCAAGATTATCATGTTTTAAGTGTTACAGGACACTTGAATGATGGACGATGTCATTGGAACAGCCTATGTTATTAATGATGCCGGCAGCCTCCCCTCCCACCTTTCCCTGCCTTCACACTCTGTGCCCCCTTCAGTGCTTTGACCCCTTACTCCTCGCACTTGACCATGAATTGCATTTTGTATTTAAAGACCTCCCTGCACAATATCCTCTTATCTACGTAAGCAGCCCATAGCCTCAGCGCCCTGCACCCTGGTTGGAGTTCACCTTCTGATTTGGTGGTATATTTCTAAAACCAGTTTGATTTTTCCTGTTGCACTGGGGCTTGTGTTTTTCTTCCAGTGCCCTGTACATAGCATGCCTTGACTGGTCTCCACATCGTTCTTCATCAGACTGGTTTGGATTTTACAAGGTGTTAGAGTTTTTAAATTAGCTCATGAGGTCTCTCGCACCTGAGTTTATGCCAGAGAAGTTGTGGAGTGATGAACTTAATGGGTGCCCTTATCCCCAAAGATGCCCAGCTTTGTTCCTGCTTAAGCTGAATGTTGGTGGATAACACATCATTCTTTGTAAATCGTGATTGCAGAATCCTGCTATTTTATGGCTTTGTTTTTCCTTTTGTCGTATAAATGATTGGGTAGCTCGTTAACTTCACTCTGTTATAGTAAGGGACTGCTACAGAGGACACTGAGCAGGAGGAGAGAAGGAATGATTAGGCCTCAGAAAGAACGAGGGGTTGTTTAAGAGAAAACGAAGTAAGCCTAGCAGATCTGATCGTACAATCATTTTCCCCTTATTGTTCCTTTTTCCACTCCAGAGCTGCCCAGAAGTTAAATCTGTCTTCTAAAAAGAAGAAACATCGGCCTTCCACTTCTTCCGCTGCCGAACCACCGCTCTTTGCAACCAGCTTCAGTGGGATTCTGCAGACCTCCCCTCCCCCAGCCCCACCCTGCCTGCTGAGGGCTGTCAACAAGGTGAAGGACACCCCGGGGCTGGGCAAGGTAGGACCATCCGCCGTCCCTGCCATTTGCCCAGTGTGCGAGGTTCTGGATCAAGTTTCAGGAGGAAGAAAATGAGGCCTCCAATGTATTAAAATAAGACGTTGCCAGGGAGAAAAGGAGGCAAGATGAAATTCATTTGAAAGTCCTGAAAATTGTCATGGTTGCATACACTAAGTGGTAAACTAAGACCTTCAGATTGTAAGAGATCTGATTTGCTTTTGGTGGGAAAAATCAGCTTTGCATTGTTTGACAGAATCGTAGCCATTTAAAGAAAAGACACAAAGGCACAAAATATCGAGGCAGGGGCAGGAGACCGAGGGAGGCCACAGCACAAGGTACAGAAATGAGACGTAATGAGGCCTCATAATTTCCCTGTGACACTTTCGAGTTTTTGCCTCCTCTTCAGAGAAATCCTGACTTCTGCTTTGAAGCAGCCCACTGAGGGGATTGTGAGGAACGCTGCAGTCTTGCCTTTCTAGCCAACAAGTGCGATTTCGAATTGTTACAAATGCTCAGGAAGAGATGTAGGATCGTGCTTACAAGCTGTTGCTCAGCTACACTTGGGATCACTTTATTTTTAAATGTCATTTCTAAATTCTTTCTCCCTTCCGAGGAAAGCGTTTGGGTGAAGTAACTTACGGTTTACTCATCATTGGTGAATAAGCCAGGGCTCATACAAACATGTAGTGAAAGAAAGACGTGGCGGTTTAATTTTTTATTTTTATCAAAAGTAGGAGTGGTGCACACGACCTCACTGGTCCTTTACAGACTTATCGTGACTCCGGCCCTGGGCTTCATTTGGCCGCCGTTGCTAGTCTTGCTGAAGCTCCGGAGCAACTACTAAACTGTGGGGATTTAGATTTTACTTGTTCAGTTCGCAGACTGCCAGTCCCCTGGGTACCCAAACACGGTCATGGCTGGGTTTCTGGGCCTCAGAAGGCCTCTGTCTCTCTGGAGTCTCCCCTTGCACCCTCTACCCTCTCTTCTTTTCACCTTTCCCAGTTTCTCCCGTGTCCTTCCATGCTCTCCCACCCTCAATCTCACCACCTCGTTGGGAAGGTATTAACTTCATGTGGTACTTTTCCCAAGAAGAGTTTAAATTTTAAGATTACATGGAATAGGTCAGGCACTGTGGCTCACACCTGTAATCCCAGAGCTTTGGGAGGCCACAGCAAGAGAAGCACTTGAGGCTAGGAGTTCAAGACCAGCCTGGGTAACATAGCAAGACCCTGTCTCTACAAAAAATTTAAAAGTCAGCTGGGCACAGTGGCAGATGCCTGTAGTCCCAGCTACTCAGGAGGCTAAGGAGGGAGGATCACTTGAGCCCAGGAGTTAGAGGCTGCAGTGAGCAATGATCGTGCCACTGCACTCTAGCCTGGGCCACAGAGTGTCTCTATTTTTTGAAAACTTACATTGAACAGAGCAGTGCCTCCTCTGAGGGGAAGCATCCAGTCCTGGAGCTTTCCTTGGTGGTGGGCAGGGCAGACAGTTTTCAGCTGAGGGCTTTCCCAGGCCCAGCAGCAAAGTAAGACCCAAGGAGGCAGGGAAGTGGCCTGGGCTGTCTACAGGGCCTGCCCCAGCATCACTGGACATGGAAGCAGGTGGAAAAAACAGTGTGGACCAGGACTCCTGTCCAGGAGAGGACTCAGTGGGTGGGAGCCCCCGAGGAGGGGCCGTGGTACGCCACAGGGGCACACGGGTGTGATCGTGGATGGTTGATTCGCTGCCTTCTAAGGAGGGTGGGTCCAAGTAACTGCTGGGATCTTCTATTCTTTTTTACATTTTTTATTTTTAATTGTGGTAAGATACAGGTAACATAAAATGTACCATCTGAACTGCTTTTAAGTGTACATGGGCTCTTGTTTTGCAAAGAGGGATTTGGAACTTCAGTGCCGGAGCTGAACTGCTCTGGACACAGTGAAATCAAGCTGTCAGTGCAGTGACCTTCCCCTCCTGTACTCTAAGCCAGTTCTCTTCTGAATAAGTGTGAGCAAATGTTTAAGTGGTATCTCCTTGAAAAGGTGCCAGATGATCAGCCAGCCTGGGGTGCTCATGTACCCCAATACCGCCCTGTCCAGGGCACCTCAAAATGAAGCACATCAGAAACCGTCCTCCTGCACCTACAGTACTGGCCTTGTCTGTGGTTCCTACAAGGGTTGATGTGGATGCATCTTCAGGTGGCTCCGACCTCTCCCCCTCTATCCCTAATGACCTCCCTGGAATTCTGAGACAAGGACATCAGGGTGCCAAGGCCAGGGACCAAAACAGCAGAAAGAGTGTCCCAGCCAGCAGGATGACCCAGCACTGACACAAAAATAGTTTAGAGGGCAAAGGACACTGGTCCAATCTTGATTTCATGATGTACCATATGTAGTGACCACAGATAAGGGGCCTTACAATGAGGAGTTATGCTTGTTAGTAAACTAAAGTTTGCATTTCACACTTTTTTAAAAAAATTAAAGATATCTCTCTCACTGATTTGCAATCCAAAATGTAATCAAAGCCCTGAGTTCACCCATGAGACTGTGTCGAGGAGCGGGGCATCGGTCTGGGGTCACAGAACATCATAAGAGAAGGTGTGGCTTCCATCTGCCCAGTGGCCACGTGGCAGCTGAGGCCACCCTCCTGATCTGCTCAGGCTTCTGGGGCATGGGTAACAGTGAGGGGGAGGAAGTGACAGTTGGAGAGAATGTGTACCATGATTGGAACAAGAAGTTGGCTGGGCGCGGTGGCTCACGCCTGTAATCCAAGCACTTTGGGAGGCCGAGGCGGGCGGATCACGAGGTCAGGGGTTCGAGACCAGCCTGACCAACATGGTGAAACCCCGTCTCTACTAAAAATACAAAAATTAGCCAAGCTTGGCGGCACGTACCTGTAATCCCAGCTACTCAGGAGGCTGAGGCAGGAGAATCGCTTGAACCTGGGAGGCAGAGGTTGCAGTGAGCAGAGATCGCGCCACTGTACTCCAGCCTTGACGACAGAGCGAGACTCCATCTCAATAAAAAAGAAAAAGAAAAAGAAAAACGAGAAGTTGCCAAGACCCTGCCTCTTCCTGCACAGAGCATCTGGTTCTTCCATTTCAGCAGGCTCTTACTCTGCCCTACCATATGGTGCCAAACTGCCTGACCTCAGCGAAGGCCCATCCTCCCAGACTCCTGCTCTCTCCACCTCCACGGATATCTCACCATCATTAGGAACAGCAGTTCTTTATACCCATGTGGAAAAATTTCCATCAATTTATCTGTTGCATAATTTATATTTTAATATCACCAAGAAATACAGTGGAGTTTAATATAGAACATAAATAATTGGCGCTATATATAAATCGGCAGGTTTGAGGTAGACAAGTTTGATGGAATTCCCAAAAGCAAGTTGATTGATTATTTAAACCTGACCTGGAGTCTCCTAGAGTGGAGGAGGGGAGCAGGAATCTCCAACGCTTGAGATGGCCCTGAAGGTGAGAGTGTTGTCACCCAGCCGGACCACTGCCCCTCAGCCTCAGCCACCCACCACCTCCCTCTGGAAACCTGGGAGGCCTTCCTCCATAGGAACAGATTTCATGGGTTTATGTAGAGCAACTTCTTATTTAGTAGACAAGAAAACTGAGGCCCAGTGAAGGTAACAGGTTTTCCAGTGACTCCAGAAGCAGGGCAAGAAGTCAGGACCTTTCGGCCATTTTATTTCCTACTGTATCACTGGCTGTCACTAGATAAACATGACCCTTGACAATTTGGGGTGGAGACAAGAGTGTCATGGAACTGCAGTGGTAGCAAAATAACGTTGGGAACCAATTGCCTTTGTCCAGTGGGGAAAGACATACTTTTCAGAGTCAGGATTGGGAGAGGAAGGGGAATAACAGCCAAGAATAGATACACAGAATGAGGGAGAAGGGAGGCGTGCTATCCCATCCCTTCCCTCCTTCCCACTCCCTGCTGTTTCCAGCAACAATCCCACTCCCCAGCCACCACCAGGGAGTCATTTCTGGCCACTGAGCACCTCTTGAGGCAAAAGCTTTTCTGGAGGCCATGGTGATGGAAGAAATGGAGGTAATTTCCATGTACTTGGAGTTGAGGCATGCACACGCACATGCGCGCACACACACAAACCATCTCAGGATCCTCTGCCCCTAGAGCATTTCCTGATACACAGCAATTTTTTTTTTTTTTTTTGAGACAGAGTCTCACTCTGTCCCCCAGGCTGGAGTACAGTGGTACAATCTTGGCTCACTGCAACCTCCACCTCCGGGGTTCAAGTGATTCTCTTGCCTCAGCCTCCCAAGTAGCTGGGATTACAGGCATGCGCCACCACACCCAGTTAATTTTTGTATTTTTAGTAGAGACGGGGTTTCTCCATCTTGGCGAGGCTGGTCTCAAACTCCTGACCTCCAGTGATCTGCCCACCTCGGCCTCCCAAAGTGCTAGGATTACAGGCATGAGCCACCATGCCCAGCCCACAGCAAATATTTATTAAGCACCTACTAGGTGTTAGGTACTGTGCTGAGCGGTAGGCTTAGGTTTGAAATAATGGACAAGGCAGAGCACCTGTCCTTAAGGTACTTATAACTTAGTGCTTTATTCCAGTCAGTCTTAGAAAGCTCACCAATTTGGGCCAATATGAAGGACAATCTGATTTAAGGAAAAATCAGGATTGTAGGCTTAAAATGATTCTGTCTCACTTTGAAGTTACATAAACAAATTATGCTACTAAGTAGTCTTATAGAGATATTCTTAATAAGCAGATAAAGATGATTAGTGGATCAAAGCAGCTTAGTCCCCATTCATATTTCACTGATTTGGCTTATATGTAAATGATGATTCTAATCTGTTTGAAAACGGTTGCTTCTCCTAAGTCAGTTCTTCATGAAATTTGTTTGCACAATTAATTAACATCCATGTTTAAGGTTCATTTGTTAGTATGTCACAGCTTAATGTCAGAGCTTTCTGTCTTGGATTAGAAGCTTCCAGAGCAAAGCATGTTATCTGTTTGACTTGCTAAGTATATGGCTCTGCAGCCACACCATGGTGCATCAACATTTTTAAAAGTGAGAATGGTAATGGTGACAGTCATATTGGATTGATGACAATCAACCTTTTACCCTTTTAGGGTAGAAGTCATTCAGTTACTAACTCCTTGTGACACTGTATGGAAGAGAAAGACAAGATTTCTGTTCAGTTTACATTCTTCTTAGAGGAAGAGGAGAACAAGATTTTTAAAATTAGATTAAAATACTGTGGTTTTTTGTTTGTTTGGTTTTGGTTTTGTTTTTTTTGTTTTTTGTTTTTTGAGTCAGAGTTTCACTCTTGTTGCCCAGGCTGGAGTGCAATGGCACGATCTTGGCTCACTGCAACCTCCACCTCCTGGGCTCAAGTGATTCTCCTGCCTCAGCCTCCCTAAAATACTGTTTTTAAAAAAGGTACTCGGTAGCTGTTATTCACTCAGTCAACAAGTAGAAACAGTGGGGATAGCTCTCTGTTGTTCAGGAGGTGATGCCGGGGAAAATCTCATGCCTTTCAGCCCACCAAGGTGCAGTTTATTTACACACAGATTGTCCAATTCCTCATTATTATTGCTGTCCTTCCTCATCCTGAAGCATGACCAAAGAGAAAAGCTCTGAGCCAGAATTAACATCTTTACTTCAAGTATTCATAAAGAATTCAAATGTGATGGACAATTCTGGATCCCACTGGATCCCAGTAGATTCTGGATCCCGCTAGATCCCACTACACTCACAACTTCATTCTTAAACACTAAAGTTGGGAAAAGCAAATTGTGAGTTCTCTTTTATTTTGGTTCACTGTTGGAGGGGGCGGGAACGGCATAAATAATACCTATTCATCACTATAGCTAGCCTGATAGCTTTGTAAATTAAATTGTTAGCTCTTCTGGGAAATTAACTCATGTGACGTTAAACTCCATAGTTAAGCTTACGTAGAGTTGGGGGTGGTGGTTGTTTTCCCTTTCTTCCTTTATTTCTTATTTTGAGCCTTCCTTCAACCGATACCTCCAGAGAAAGGCGACTTGGGGAAAATGTTCTGACTCTTAATCTTCGCGGTTTCTTTTTTCCCACGGATGTAGATTTCGCCAGCCTCTGGACAGCACATGCGCAGTATGCTGCTAGCGCCGCCCCAGGCGCCCGGAGCTCAGGAAGCGCAGGTGGCGCTGCCAGAAGGGCCATGCTATTTCTGGGGCAAACCTGAAAGACCTCAGACACAGGGGCTTTCTTCTATGCCATGCCACTGTTGAACTTAGCACTCCCCGTTCTTGCAAAGAGTGGGAACTGTTAGGAGAATATTCTCCGTTAGAGGTTACTGGGCAGGAAAGTCATCCCAAGGACGTGTATAAAGAAAGTGTGAGCCAGGCATGGTGGCTCACGTCTGTAATCCCAGCACTTTGGGAGATTGAGGCGGGTGGATCACTTGAGGTCAGAAGTTCGAGACCAGCCTGGCCAAGATGGTGAAAACCCTGCCTCTACTAAAAATACAAAAATTAGCCAGGCATGGTGGCAGGCACCTGTAATCCCAGCTACTCAGGAGGCTGAGGCAGGAGGATCACTTGAACCCGGGAGGCGGAGTTGCAGTAAGCCAAGATCGCCACCACTGCACTCCAGGCTGGGCGACAGAGCGAGACTCCATCTCAAAAAAAAAAAAAAAAAAAAAGTGTGAAGCCATTTTCATTCATTATTAATATGATCACCTTTAATTCTGCTGATGAGGGTGTGTGGATATCATTTTCTGTTGTCTTCATTATCAAATGGAGAACTAGAAGGGGTAAGCAGCACATTTTGGTTTAATTAGATCAGATTTATGATAGGATGGCATATCGCTACATATAAAATACTCATTTTCTGGCGTTCCTGGCCAGAGATGTCTACACAGAGCAAAATGGATGAAAGGACCCACAGTGAGCAGGGAGGACTGGTTTGGTCCTGTAGCCCAGAGTCTCCTATCTTATATACCAGGTCTGTTCTTGAGCTTTCAGAGTGCAAGTAGAGAAACAGAATTTAGCATCCACTTTCTCCGTGGAGATCCTGCATTTCCTACTTCTCTGAACTTCCCCTGCCTGCTTCATATGAGTAGACAGGCTCTTCTGAACACATTTTTGTTTAAGTTTCAGGGACCTGACGCCTTCCAGGCACTGATATGTGTACATATACTCCACAAGACGTATCTATGGGCAAGCTAGAATTCAGCCCCTTATGTTTCTAGTGGAATGTTCATTTCAGTTTCCGTCACTAGGTTGTTAGCTTCTTGGGAGGAGGAAACATGTTCTTTTCATCTTTGTACCCTTTCAGTGCCAGCTCAGTGCTAGAAAGGATACACAATGTGGTTGAACTTAAAAAAAAAAATTCTATACAGTCCGTGTGAAGTCTTGATGGGGCGCTGAGCACTGTGTAGGGTCCGTCCTGAAAGAGGCAGCTGCAAAAATGAGGCAGAAACAGTGAAAACATGGACGTGACCAGAACCCAGTGGTCCTTGGCTCCACCTGCTCTTCCCAGGGTGCGAGTTGTCCCAGGGTTTTACATCAGGAAGAAGGTGACGCTTCATGCCACACGCTGGCAAAGAGGAAACAGTGTCCACATTCCTCACTGAGGAATTTTCTCGAAGACCTTCTTGTCCTGTCCTCTCATTTTGCATGTAAGGAAACTGAGGGCCAGCAAGAGGCACTAACTTGTCATCCCACTTTGTGGGAGAAGACAAAAGTTTAAACTTCTGAATGTAAAAGATGATTTGTTGTGGAAAACTGTTAATCAGAATTTGAATAAGAGATTCGTAATCTTTTCCTCCCATTTTGCAACTTTTTTTTTTTTTTAAAAACAGGGTTTCACTCTTGTTGCCCAGGCTAGAGTGCAATGGCACAATCTCAGCTCACTGCAACCTCCGCCTCCCGGTTTCAAGCAATTCTCCTGCCTCAGCCTCCCGAGTAGCTGAGATTACAGGCACCCGCCACCATGCCTGGCTAACTTTTTGTATTTTTAGTAGAGGTGGGGTTTCACCATGTTGGCCAGGCTGGTCAACTCCTGACGTCAGGTGATCCACCCGCCTTGGCTTCCCAAAGTGCTTGGATTACAGGTGTGAGTCACAGCGCCCTGCCCCATTTTGCAACTTTTGATCTCAATTCTGCTGGCTCTATTTTAAGGTATTAAATGGAGATGGTAGGCTTGTGTATGTGTGTGCACGTGTGTGTGTGTAAGTGTGTAGGAGGAGGAGAAGAAAGATAATTTTTATAAGGGGACTTTTTAAAAGCTAGCAACCTTTATCATAATTGGTGGACAGCCTTGGGGCCTCCTGGAATACCTGTAATTCCTAATTAGCATCCTGATTTATGGAATAAAAACATGAGATAAAATGAGGGAATTCTCTCTGGAATAAATGCCACTGTCTCAATTAACCAAAGGGCAATAAGATGGATTATAATGCCAGAATAGGGCTTTTGATCAGTCTTTGTCCAAAAACCACATTTTAGTTAAGCTCAGCACAATTAGACCATTACTGATATCAGGAGAATGGAAACAGTAGGTATATTTTAAGCTAACATTCCCAGCATCTTATCTTTCTATAGTCTTTCTCTTGTTAATGGATGAAAGGAAAGTTAAGCATGATTTGTTATAATTATCCCATTAAAATGGGATCGATAGAAATATTTTATGTTAAAAAAATGGTGAGTCCAAACTGCTGAGTTAATTAGAAAGTTTTCCTTTGTGCCTCAAACAGAATAGGAAATGCTGTTCTTGCCTACTGAATTGTTCGTATCAAATAGAAAATATTTGAATCCCTTTCTAATGCCTCATTGAACCAAAATGTATTATTATGGAGGGGGAGAATAATTCCGATACATTCTTTTTTTTTTTGAGACAGAATCTTGCTCTGTCGCCCAGGCTGGAATGCAATGGCACGATCTTGGCTCACTGCAAACTCTGCTTCCCAGATTCAAGCGATTCTCCTGCCTCAGCCTCCCAAGTAGCTGGGATTACAGGCATATGCCACCACGCTCAGCTAATTTTGTTTTTTAGTAGAGAGGGGGTTTCACCATGTTGGCCAGGCTGGTCTTGAACTCCTGACCTCAGGTGATCCGCCCGCCTCGGCTTCTCAAAGTGCTGGGATTACAGGAAAAACAACCAAAAATAGAACAATTACAGTAGCACCGAGTGCTAGAGACAAATTTCCTGCCAAATCTCTTTTCCAGTTCCCTCAGTCTGCGTCTGTGTTCTGTGCCACAACCAAAGATTCAGATATCAATTTTGTCCACTTGTAGCTCATTTGAGATCTGTTAAGCAACAACAGTGAATGCTGGGTGGATTCGTTAGTGGAGCTCTGTTCCAGCTGTAGCTAATAAAGTTATTTTCTCGCTGAAATCGGTGATGGTAAAATTGGTCTGTTTTCCAATGCTAGCTTCTTCAGTTTCCGCTGAGTTCTTTTCTCCTGGAGTGTGAGATCACAATGGCATGCCTTACAAAAGAGTGCTCTTGCCTGCTCCGTCCTGGCTGCTCCCAGGCCGACCCTGGCTCCTCACCAGCACCCTGCTGTAAACGCTCAGCTGCCCCTTCCCCTAGCAGCAGCGTCGGCACTACATTTAGGACCCTTTCTGTATGTACCCTGAAAACCCACCGGCGCAGTGGTTAGGCTGGAGCAGCTCAGGCCAGCCTGGGGCAAAAGGCAGAGGACTGAGACCATGCAGTGAGATTGGTGCAGTCAGTATTGGTGGAGGAGCTGCTGGGGGCCAGGCACATGCTGGAAAAGTGGCGTGTTATGTCCCGGGGTCTGAAGCAAGAATGGGATCAGGCAGTGTGGAACCAATTTGTAAACTCCTCACTCACTGACTGTCATTAGTAACTAAGTTGCTACAAGCTCTTTTTTTGTGAGCCTCAAAACAGGAAGCCCAGAAGAGTTTACAACAATGGAAACTCTCAGGTTTCTACAGGAAAAAGGAGAATGTTGTTTTCCCCAAAGGTTATTTCCTTCTGCAGCCTGGCCATGTGCCCCTTTCCCTCAAGTTTGGGAAGCAGGACAAAGGGCCCTGGGGAATGCCTTAGCCCATGATGAGCTGAGGGACAGTCATTTTTGTCCCGTCATCATGCATTTGATTTGCTCCTTGTTTTATGTAAATATATAATTTTAGACAGCGTCTTCCTTCGTCAGCCAGGCTGGAGTGCAGTGGCCCTGACACGGTTCACTGCAGCCTCAACTTCCTGAGCTCAGGGGATCCTCCCACCTCAGCCTCTCAGGTAGCTGGGACCACATTAGCCACCATGCCCTGCTAATTTTTTGTATTTTTTGTAGAGACAGGATTTCTCCATGTTGGCCAGGCTGGTCTCAAACACTTGGGCTCAAGCGATCCACCCGCCTTGACCTCCCAAAGTGTTGGGATTACAAACATGAGCCACTGCGCATGGCCTGTTTTAAACATTTTAAGAAAATATTTTATCATATTTGCACAAGAAGATTTTCAGTGAAGGACAATGTTTTGAAAATCCAATCAGTAAGATACTCGCTGGGAGGTATTTTTATAGAAATCCATGGAAAGCTAATCATAGGAAATCGGAAAAACAGAGAGCAGGGTTTGTAGCTTGGCCTTTCCCCTACCTTGTTCCGCATTCTATAAAAAGTGAAAAAGTAGCAAAGTAGCACCCTACAGGGGGCTCAGAGGTGCTGGAGGACTAATAACGCACCATTTGCATGTCCACGCCACGCGACCCTGCAGTCACGCTCTGTTACAAGTACAGATGGTGAAAGTGTGGCCAGGAATGGATGCCGGAAGCCCAGAAGGAAGTTGGCTCTTGTCTGGAGGCTCCCAGGGTGGATCTGCACAGCCTTCCCTTGGCTGATTCCTGTCCATCCTGTGGATATCAGTGAAATGCCAATTCCTTGGGGAGGCTTTCCCTGCCAACCTCCCCAACCCCAGGTTATCCAGGCTGGGTGCCCCCTCGTGTGCTTCCGTAACCCCCCAAAGTTTCTCCTCATTGCATTCATCACTCTTTAGATGACTGATCTGCGTAATTCCATGTTCAGTGGGTCTCCTTAACGAATGTAAGCTCCATGAGGGCAGGGCCATGTCCTTCTTGTTCCCCTTTGAATCCAGAGCACTACACGGTGCCCAACTGTCATAGGTGTCATAGGTGCTCAGTAAATACTAGGTGTATTAGCCAGAGTTCTCCAGAGAAACAGAACCAGCAGGGTGTGTGTGTGTGTGTGTGTGTGTGTGTGTGTGTGTGTGTGTGTGTGTGGAGTGGGGGTGGGGGATTGACTGATTTTCAGGACTGGACTCCTGTGACTGTGGAGGTTGGCGGGCAGGCTGGAGACGCAGGGAAGAGGTGCAGCTGGAGTCCAAAGGCGGGCAGCCGACAAGCAGAATTCCTTCTTGCTCAGGGAAAGTCAGCTTTGGTTCTATTCAGGCCTTCAACTGGTTGGATGGAGCCCACCACATTATGGAAGGTCGTCTGATTTACTCAAACTCAGCTGATTTAAATGTTAATCTCATCTAAAAAAATACCTCCACAGAAATATGACCAAATATCTGAATACCGGGGCCCAGCCAAATTGACACATTACCATCGCACTAGGGGAATGAATGGAATGATGACACTGGTTTCCATTCTGTTGCGATGATCCTTCCCATCCGTATAAGGCCTGACAATTTCCATGCCCTTGCACCTATGTCATCTTCCTGGATTTTTTTTTTTTTTTTGAGACAGTCTCACTCTGTCGCCCAGGCTGGAGTGCAGTGGGGCGATCTTGGCTCCCTGCAACCTCTGCCTGCTGGGTTCAAGCGATTCTCCTGCGTAGCTGGGATTACAGGCACATGCCACCACTCCCGGCTAATTTTTGTATTTTTTATGGAGATGGGGTTTTACCACGTTGGCCAGGCTAGTCTCAAACTCCTGGCCTCAAGTGATCCACCTGCCTTGGCCTCCCAAAGTGTTGGGATTCCGGGTGTGAGCCACCGCACACAGCCTCCCTGGATTCTTAATACAGCCCTGAGAGGTAGGCAGTGGGGCAGTGCGGGGAGGCAGGGGCTTGTTAGATGCTGCCCATAGATGAGAACACTGAGATTCAGAGAGGGCAAAATAATTCCTAGAGGTGACACCGCTTTTCAGAGTGGATGGGGTGACACCATATGTTTGTTTCTACTGTTCTTTTCCAAATCATACAACATATGAGCCATTCATCTTGTGCCAAGCACTGTTCAGAAGGCTCCATCCTCATGACACCCCTGTGGGAAGCTTCCACCATCACCACTCCTCTTTTACACTGGAGGAAGCTGGACCGGATCTAAGGAATCTGCCCAGCATCACATGCCTGGTCTGTGGTGGAGCTGGCCTATGAACGCCAACTCTGGAACCTGTCCTCTGGATGGCTGCATGAGACTGTCTCTCTATAGGCACCTTATGTGGTCATTTTGGTTTCAGAAGAGGTACAGTAAGCAAATGTTCCTGGCTGGCGTGCTGCAGCTGCCTTGGCGGGGTGGCAGGCAGGGGGCTGTGGCGGAGGCTGAGGCTGGTCGTCCTCCTCTGCCGCTGACAGTCCCAAGCTCTCTTCCCTCATCATCTCAGATAGCTTTGTGGTTGTCACTGTGTTGTTTTATATATGAATATTTTTTATGGATTTTTATATATGGATTGCCGTGTGACTTATGTTTCCCTGCCCTAAGCACACCGATGAAAGTACATTAATACTCAAAATGACTTTGAAAAGACCAAAAGAAACAAAAAAAGTCCTAAATTCCGTGGGAGGAAAAACCATGATCCTTTAGCCCTACTCCGGAATAGTAAGAACTGAGAGCCAAAGCCAAGGCGGGGACAGCACCCTGGGAGCTGATGGGCTGGTTAGTCCCATCCCAGATTATATGGAGGCACCCGGGTGATTCCATTTCATTGAGAATTCTGTGTCTAGAGCACCAGACAGTGACCACAGAAATGTTTAAACTTCAGCTTTTGTTTAAAGAGATGTGCTGTGAGTATTTATCGAGCCATGGTCTGTGGGGACACTGCTGGGAGAGGGAGCATTTCTGGAACCCATCGTGGCTTTCTTCCTTGTCTGGCCTCGGCTTTTACTTTCCTTTTTTCATGGACCCCTCTATCTCTTGTGTCCAAACCCACCTACTTTTCCAGGTCTGGCTAAGTGCCTTCTTCCTCCCATGTCCCACCCCTGTCCCCTACTGAGCCCCCTTTTCTCCGTGTTTTGTATCATGTACCATCCCTTGCCCAGATTTCTCTGATTAACCATTCACCACTCTGTTGCTGTCACCGCTTTATGGGTCTAGGTTTTCTCCTCCACTGAGTCTTTAGGCTACTTGAGGGTGGGAATCTTTGTTCCTATTGCGTTCATATCCCTGAAAATGCTTAGCCATATGTCAGACAGACAGAACTCCCTGAACTGAAAAACACAAAGATGTGGAGAATAGCACAGTCCTTATATGACTTTTTCCCTGCTTGTCCCTATCATTTACCCATCACCTCTTAGTCCATCTGGTCATCCATTGATTCATTCAGAAGACAGGTATTACGTATCTTCTATGTGCTAGTTACTTTGGGGATACCCAGATGAGTTAAACATGGTCTCTATCCTTAAGGATTCCAGAAGTTGCTATCAGAAAGAGTTAAAAATCATTCTTCAGGTAGATAGCTCAAACTAAAAATACCTGTTATTATGGCCATCACTCCGGCTTACCATGGCAGATAAGGCTGAAATTTGTCCCAGATAATTGGCTTCCTGGTGAGCTTTCTCCCTCCTTCTTTTTCACTGAGTATACGCTAATATTCCTCCAGTATTCATACTGCATGGTGAGGACAGCTGACGGTATAGCAGCCAGGGAAGGCTGCACCTGTGTTTCCATTTTAGCGCTTTGATGTGCTGCATGCGGTTGCCCTGCAATTAGTTCATATGCGTGAATCACAATGGCATATGTAAAACGTGTGCTCATACAGACCCCTCTCCAAAGACCTCACGCATCCTTTGCTTCTGGAGAGAATTCCCCTGAATGTATGTGATGAGGAAGTTGGGCTTTTCCTCTCTGTGCCAGGCTGAAGCGAGGGGCTTTGCTCAAGGTCGTATAGAAAGTCGTCTGCCCTTCCAGGCCGTGCTCTTCCATTGGAGGCAACACCTGGGCGTTCTTTGTTTTGCCTTTGCCGCAGAGGGAGAAATGTCATATCTTTCAAAATTCCAGTGTTTCCTAGTCTTCTTTGAGAATGCCCCTGTTAAGATAGGTGAGAAGCACCAGGGGTAGGCGAGATTCTTGGATAATGTGTGTCCTGGAAGGTGGTGTATTCTGGAATGGGGATGGGAGGAGGGGAAAAGGATAAAGAAGGGAATTCTTTTCGTTTCAAGCAATAGAAATTCAAACTGTGATGCCTCATGGAACCAGACCATGAGAAGGTCATGAGCGCCTGGAACTAAGATCTCTCGAGTGCTCCGGGACGCTTCTCGCCTCGTCTCTTACGTGTGCTTCTTCTCACATTTTGGCTTAATTCTTCATTTCAGGCCAGCTTTCTCTCTTACAGCTGCCACCAGCAGACTGGACAGACTCCTGTCCTCTCTGGCCCTAAACTCAAAACTTCCAGGAGGGAGCTCAGATGAGCGGGCGGTTGGGGGTCAGGAAGCGGCTGCTCAGATGAAGGGGGTGCTGGGGTTGGGGTGCTCAGGAGCATCTGCCTGTGTGGAAGACGCTATCCTACAAGAAGGCTGGAAAGACAGACAAACGTCACCCCCTGCATTTTTTGATGGTTTGTAGGAAGTGTCAGTGAGCATTTAGGAGAAAAACCCAAGACCAGGTTACACAGAGCATGTCAGGTCTCAAATCCCGACATGACTCCTGTCAAACCCAGTGCCAGGGAGGAGGGGAGCCCTTCACCCAATCCGTATTTACCGAGCATTGACTGGGTGCCTGTGAAATGAGGACTTGGGGGGGTTCATTTTGTGGACCACTGATTTCACAATCATTTAGCAGTTTCCAGGGGGAGAAAAGTGGCCTGCGTATTCAACAGAGCTTAGAGAAGAGACTGTGTAGGGATTTGCCCAGGGAGTGCAGTAGGGAGAGGTGCATCACCAAGAATATCGGAGACTTCTCCTTAGCAGGCTCATCGTTTCCAAAGAGATGGAGATGCAGTCCCGAGATAGCGCTCCGGCTTGCTGGGGACACTGGCTCCAGGTGGACAGTCTTACGTCTGCCTGGCAATGCTGGCTATGCTGGCTATGCTATGACCTGCTTCCTCTGTGAAACAGCTGCTGAACAAAAATGCCCAAATTTTAGCACATCAATCTCTTCTTCTTCCTCCTCCTCCTCTTCTTCTTCTTCTTCCTCCTTCTTCCTCCTTCCTCCCTCCTCCTCCTCTTCTTCTTCTTCCTCCTCCTTCCTCCCTCCTCCTCCTCCTTCTTCTTCTTCCTCCTTCTTCCTCCTTCCTCCCTCCTCCTCCTCCTCCTTCTTCTTCTTCCTCCTTCTTCTTCTTCCTTCTTTCTTCTTTCTTCTTCTTTAAGAAAGGGTCTGCTTTTGTCACCCAGGCTGGAGTGGAGTGGCGTGAACGAACACAGCTCACTGCAGGCTCAACCTCCAAATTCAAGCGATCCTCTCACCTTAGGCCCCCAAGTAGCTGGGACTACCAGCATGCACCACCACGCCTGGGTAATTTTTGTATTTTTTTGGTAGAGATGGGGTTTTGCCATGTTGCCCAGGCTGGTCTCAAACTCCTGAGTTCGGATGATTTGCCGGCCTTGGCCTCCCAAAGTGCTGGGATTACAGGCATGAGCCACTGCATCTGGTGTTTTTGTTGTTGTTGTTGTTTTGAGATGGAGGTCTCTGTATCATCAAGAATGGTCTCAAACTCCTGGGCTTAAGTGATCCTCCCACCTCAGCCTCTCAAGTAGCTGAGTTTACAGGTGCAAGCCACCATCCCCAGCCAAGCACATTAATCTTTATGAAAATGTTTTGTTTCTGCCTTTCCCCACTCTTGCAATGGCTCACCACAGTCATCCCATTTTCCCAGCAGCGTGGAACTCACAGTCAGAAGGGCCCATTCTCCAAAATTAACCCCACCTGAGAGTTACATTATGTAACACACTGGGAGTGGGGGACAAGGAACATCTGTCTCCATCTGTGCCAGGTGCTAACTTCCTGTGTCGCCCAGGAACACTCACCTAACACCTCCGAGTGCCTCCACAAAAGTGCCAGGCCATGTATGTGGGACACTTGCTCTGCAGTGTAAGCAAAAATGGGTGCAGTTTTAAAAATATTGTAGAATTCTAGAACTTTCCAAATAAGTTGGATAATATCAGCAGTTGGTATTCATATAGGTTGACCTTCACTTGGCAGAACAGTCTGAACAGGTGCGTAGATTTTAAGTAGACTTGAATTTGAAGGCTAAGGTCATCCAGATCTCTTTGCGGATGTGGAGCTGGAATGAAGCCCTCCTGGCTTTGCCTCCTCTGCCGTCGTCGCAGCCGGCAGGTCCCAGCTCTCCTCTTTCAATTGCTGTGTGACCCTACGGAAGATATTCAGTTTTTCTGGGCCTGAACTTCTTTATCTGCAAAACAGGAAAACGAATCATACTTCCTCAGAGGGTAATTGTGAGGCTCCAATAACTGTGCTGGAGAAAGTGGGGTATGAGGCCCGGTTTGGGGCTGTGGGAGCACCTCTTCCTTCTGTTGGTCCTAGGAGCTCAGCGCTTGGTGGGATGTTCCAGACCAGGAGAGGCTGGGACTAAAATTCCAGAGTGATCTATGGGTGCAGAAGCTTCAGACGCCTGTTCAAGAGATGGGTATCAGGTGAGGTGAGTCCATATTTAGGTCTCCAGCTAGGATTTAAACCTATAAGGGGAAGAAGCACAGGTGAGCTACAGTAATTTTGGCTAAAGGTCCAAACTGAGGCCAATCTCAGGGCATGTCCCTCTAACTAGAGGTAAGGCATTTAGTCAACAGCCCTCCAAGCTCAAATAGGCAGAGGGTAGAACTGAGGGGGAATAGCAGCTGTTACTAGGAGGCTGGTCACTGGCAACCTTGGGTTTCAGGAGCGAGAAATCCATCCTGGATACTGCGAACGCCCTTGATTCTTAGAAAAGTAGGGTCCTGGCATCAAAGCTGGAGCAGTATGGAACGGATGACTGCTTAGACACAGGGCCAGTGGGTGATCAACTACAGCCTCGTAGATTTCTCTTTGGAGGACTGGAGTGACTCCCAGGCTCAGTAGGGGACTCTGTAGGGGACTGAGCTTGGAGAAGCCCACGGCCACCCTGCCTCCATTCCAAACAAGATTATTCACTCCACTCCTGTTTAGCTGGTCACATGGCTCCCCCATTCCTTGCTCTCCATTGCCCTTAGTCCAAAGTCCAAATTCCCCAGCCCAAGGCTGCAGGGGGCTGGCTCCCTGGCCTCTAGTTCCTGCTTCTCTCGCCTGCCCCCTTGACTCCAGTGAGTAGTTTTTGGTGCTGCAAAGAGGACACACTTTCTCTCACCTTCGGGCCTTTGACCTGCCCGGGCAGGGCCCTCCCCATCTTCCTCCTTTGCTCTGAATTCATCCTTCTTCTTCAAGCTTTAATTTGGATGTTATCCCTTCACCCCGCTTCCCCAAGGAAGTTCCCTCCTGCCCCTGAGGCCTCTTGCCATGCTGGGCTCTAAGTGGGCATTTATTTCTCTGTGCAGAGTTTGTCCTTCTTTGAACCAGGTCCCTCCTGGACAAGGAAGGTGCTAGATACATGTTTGTCTAGCCACAGGGATCAGAGCTCAGAAGGTTGCGGGGACAGGGCATCCTGCCTGCCCTCTCTGAATGTTCACTTTGAGTTACTTCAGTTACTCTTTACCTGGACAACATAACGTCGGGGAAAACTCATTTATTTGCAAAAGGCAAAATACATGACACTGTTTCACTCAGAAGCCCCTCAGACCCAGCATCTCGCCAACCTTTGGGCTTAAGAAGTGGTGAAAAGATGGGGAGAGAGTGACTGAATGCATTTTTCTGTCTAGGCAATTTAGTATTACAGGAGATGCTCTCAAATCCTTGACCGGAGTGAAGGCAGAGTTCTTGTCAGTTATGTAAGAAAAACAGCTCATTGTTATATGATGCACACTGAACACCATCGTGTGTTTTCTCAGTCTTTGTGTGTGCGGACACGTGGCATTTAAATTAAAATTTGGCCAGGCACAGTAGCTCATGTCTGTAATCCCAGCACTTTAGGAGGCCAAGGCAGAAGGATCGCTTGAGCCCAAAGTTGAGACCAGCCTGGGCAACGTAGGGAGACCCCATCTCTACAGAAATTTAAAAAGTAGCCAGCCATGGTGGCACACACCTGTAATCCTAGCTAAGGCTGAGACAGGAGAATCACTTGAGCCCGGGAAGTCTAAGCTCCGGTGAGCCTGTGATTGTACCACTGCACTCCAGCTTCGGCCACAGAGTGAGACCCTGTCTCAAAAATAGAATATTAATTAATTAAAATTTAAGGAATTCTGTTTTTACTACGGTGAGTAACAAGGTTTTTTTTTTGGTTTTTGGGTTTTTGTCGAGACGGAGTCTTGCTCTGTCGCCCACGTTGGTGTGCAGTGGTGCGATCTCAGCTCACTGCAACCCCCACCTCCCGGGTTCAAGCGATTCTCCTGCCTCAGCCTTCCAAGTAGCTGGGAGACAGGCGCACGCCCCCACACCTGCCTAATTTTTTGTATATTTTATTAGAGGCAGGGTTTCACCATGTTGGTCAGGCTGGTCTTGAATTCCTGAGCTCATGATCCACCCACCTTGGCCTTCCAAAGTGCTGGGACTACAGGCGTGAGCCACCGTGCCCAGCCTATTTTTGTTTTTGTAGAGATGGGGGGTCTTACTATGTTGCCCAGGCTGGTTTTGAACTCCTGGACTCAAGTGATCCTCCCACCTCAGCCTCCCAAAATGCTGGGATTACAGGCGTGAGCCACCACACCCAGCCTAACAAGGTTTTTTGTTTTGCTCCTGTAGGTCTATTTTTTTTTTTTTTCCAATCAGTATTTTCAATGTTTTGGCTCCAGACAGATTTCAGTGGTGCATCACATGTTACCGACGTGCCTCCCGTGCCTCCCTGTCTGTTCATCTGCTGTCGTCTCTGCCAGGGATGCTCGTCTCTCATTCGTTTTTTTGGCGTGGAAACACGCTGCTCAGTCCTCAGGCCCAGCTCCCGTGTCACCTGCCACCTGCAGGCCTTCCTCTTGTCCCTTCTCCAGGCACTGTGCCTGTGTCCCCTACTCCAGACCGTGAGTTGTGGATGAAAGGGGCTGTATCTTACTTGCCCCTTTTTGCATTTATTCATGTGGATACATAGATGCTCATTCGCTTCAATTCATTGAACATCTGCTACTGGCCAGGGACTTTTTCCCTTTTGGAAGGAGACCCAGATACCCTCCAGACATAGGTCCGGCCTCTCAGGAGTTTTCATTCTCCTGAGAGAGGAGAGAGACTTGTTGAGCTATGCGTGGAGTGCTGCCTGACAGCTTGCTATTTTCTTTCTTTCCTGTGAGATAAAAATGTACCTTATGGTATTACTTTATTTTAATTCTGCCATGACATTTGTGGCGGTTGTTTTAAGATTCAGAGATTACTGGGTGTTGATCTCCTTATGATACTCTCGGTTCCTAATTATGTTAGAAAAAAAAGCAAAGCGGGAACTTGGCTTTTGTGTTGCCTTCACAGAGTGTGGAGGTTGAAAACATCTCAGCGCACTTCACGGAGGTTCTCAGAGACCCCATAAGTTTCTGGAAAAGTGGGAAACGCAAACCTGTCAACCTGTCAGTCTCTCCCCTCTCACGGAAGCCTGACATGTAAATCTCAAGTTGTTAAACCTGCTGTCAAATGAGCTGCCTCCACTGAAGACTCCCCTCCGCTCCTCGCACTCTCATCACTGCCCCTCACTCTCTGTCCCCACAGCACAGGGACAGCCTCCGCAGACTCCCGTGTGTGTGCTCTGGAGAGAAAAGATTCTGGATTTGGGCGGTCTCACCTCCAAAATTGCAGCCCCTAAGGGGAGCCGTGCTAAGGTGTGATACAGGCCATGCCCCTTCTAGCCCCATGGGACACCTGACTGATAGCAGCCTGTGCAGATGTGAGGAACAGAAGGTGGCCCCAGACCCCTTAGGAGAAACCAAAGTGCCTCAGAGACAGGACAAGTGCTACCCCGGAGGCCAGTCACCAGGTGACCTGGGAGCTGGGAACCTTTTCAGCCTATGGGTGGCTGTTTATCACGAGGGGCATTAGACAGACAGGAGGCAGTGCTGAAATTCAACAGCACAAAGCAATTTCCAGCTTCATCTTGGCTTATTAATAATGAAACAGCAATAGCGCAGGCACAAATCAACAGTAAGTAGGTGGGTGGGTGAGACAAGTTGGACATTTGGGGAACAGCCTGGGCAGCTACCGATACAGAGGGAAGCCATTTGGTGTGTGTACCTCCCCTCTTCCCTGGGATAGGAGCAAACCTGAAATGAGAACGGCAGTCATCTGCACACAAAAACTAGGTTAGGAAACTGTTTTCTAAGGGGCCAGGTTGGGTCACTCTTTGTGACAAGAACCGTGTGAACCACTTCTTACCTGTAATTCTGACTCAGCATTGATATTTGAAAATTCTTCCCTAGGGCTGGGTACTGAGTACTGTTCTGAGTGCATTACATACAACAGCTCATTTACATACGTAATACATTCACATACATCAATCATTTGCATGTATCAACTCATTTATGTACATCAACTCATTTGCATACCTCATTTCATTTGTACATAACTCATTTGCATATACCAACTCATTAAAGTTGTCTCTTTTACTAGTGAGGAAACTGAGGCCTAGAGAGTCATGTGCATGCTGCATCTCTGCATGCTTCCTCTGATGGTTTGATGTGGGTCAATCCTACGTCTGTGCACATCTTAACAACTATCGTAGGTGTAGGGTGCCTTTGGTTTACTAGAGGTTTCATCAGTCCACCTGATTCTCACTACTGACGTAAATGTCAGAGGTGGTCCTGCCTCTTCTCAGTCTCCATCCCAAGGCTCTTTACAGCTTTCTGTGGCCTGATTTTCTTGCTGTGGATGCTGAAGGGCACTCTTCAGTGGTTTCTCCCAGGGCCGTTGCGGATTGCAGCTGTTTCATACCCAGATGACCTGGGGGGCATCTTCAGTGTGTGCAGATCAGACTCAGCACTGATACTCGTCCTCCAGCCGTACTTTGTCTCCGCGGTGGTGCTCAGACTTAAAGCACTTCTCAGCTGTGCTAGTGGTCCCTTCAGAGAACGAATTATGCTGAGGCAGAGAGGGACCTGGGGAGGGTAGGGAAGGTCACAAATTAAACAGCAGATTAGAGGACAGAAATTCGGTTTGTGGCTTTAATATTTTATACTCAGTATGACAGGCAGACTCTTCAAAAAAACATAACCTAGTGGCCCAAATCGCAATTTTACGTTATACTTTCAATATAGGAGGACCCTCACATTGCTTAAAAGGGGTCTTCAGGGAGAAATTTACCCAAAATTTCATGCTTGGCTCCGTGGTGACGGCACATCCTCACTCTGAGAACCAGGACCGGCCTCGGGAGTCCAGGTTCTGTTCCCAGTTTGTATGCACACCGATTTCCCCACTGTCTGTCACAACCAGTCAACTTCCCATGTGTTAACAGTTACTGAATCTACCTGTCCGCACGTGGCCAAGCCCCGCCCCCCCCTTCCCCCATGCTCTTCTCTCTGCCTGGCCAACTCCTCAATCTTGGCAAAGTCCTTCAGAACCCTTGGGTAGTGTGAGTTACCTTCCTTTGTATAGAATCTGAAAAATCATTGCCCTTTTTTTATTAGAGTCAGGATCTCATTGCTCTGTCACCCAGGCTGGAGGGCAGTGGTGCAGTCATAGCTTACTGCAGCCTCAAACTCCGGCAGGTCTCAAGTGATCCTCCTGCCTCAGCCTCCCGAGTAGCTGGGACTATAGGCATGCGTCACCATGCCTGACTAATTGTGTTATTCTTTGTAAGAGATGGGCTCTCACTGTGTTGCTGAGGCTGGTCTCGAACTCCTGGCTTTAAGGGAATCCTCCTGCCTCAGCCTCCCAAAGTGATAGAATTACAAGTGTAAGCCACCACACTTGTCCATCATTGCCTTTTAATCTTTGCATCCTGCCACCTCCCCAGCACAGCCAGCATAGGAGCCGGCACTTAGTACATGTTTGTTTGGGGAATGAATGTGAGGTCACTAGTCAATGATTCTGAAATGAGTCTATTGAAGGTGGAAACCAGCACAATTCAAATGCTTTGCGTTAAATGCCAGTCAGTGTCTCTTCCCAAAGACCCCCACTGAACCCATCAGATGTAAAATCCCCCATTTTATCACCGAACAACCTGTTTCCACCCATTTCCCTTATTCACTAAACAACCCGTTTCCACCCATTTCTCTTGTTCCTTCTTATTGCAGTGGGGGACGTGTCTTTGCCTTCTTTCAAGGGTTAATGTTTCCAAGTGGGTTCTATCTTCTCAAGGATCACTGGTCTTTCGCATATACCCTCTTGCTCCCGAATCATTAAGAACTCCTGCCCATTGGATGATGTTGCTGTATCTCCAATTATATTTTGAAACTTTCTCCCTCTCACTTACTCCTCCACGTGTCCCATTTCTCTGCCTTCTTAATGGCCACTTCTCAAACACATGGCTGACAGATTCCGGAGGCCTTCAACTCCCACCTATGAAGCAGCCAGTGGCCTCGGGAGTGGGGCTGCTTGAGACTGTGGGAACGATGTTTTCGTTAAGAATGGACTGCCTGTATAATGGTGGTCCCATAAGATTATAATACTGTGTTTTTACTACACCTTTTCTATGTTTAGGTATGTTGTTTAGATTTAGAATATGTAACGCAATTACCGCTGCGTTACCAGCAATCCCAAGAGGACCCCAGACCCTCTGAAGGAAGCGGGCTCCTGCAGGACCCGGGAGACAGTGTTGAACTTGACCTTGCTCTCCTCCTCGGGTCAGGCCTGCCGACCCTGCACTACAGGTTCCTTTTTCTCTCCCTGTCCGTGCATCCATCTGTTTCTGCACTCTCTTCGGTGCATCCTCTGAACCACCAGAATTAGGTTCCTCCACACCAAATGTGATCATTTCATTTCGCAGCTAGATTGCTCGTGAACAGCTAAGCAGGTCACGCTGAGCTCGACACAGTCCAATCCCAAGTACCAGTCAGGCTCCCACCGTCCCTTCCTATCCCAAAATGTCACCTCCCCTGTGTTGCAGCCACACTGAAGCCTCAATGTCCCCTAAACATTCCAGACCCTCTTGTGACTCTGAGTCTCTGCCCCTGGGTTCACGCCACTTAGAATGAGCTTCCCCCCATTTTCTGCGATACACACTGTCACTTTCCCTGGGAACAGATTCGACCTGGGCAGAATGCTCTTCAGTTTGTTCCTATCTCTGCCGGGATCTATATGTTCTGGACTCTCTTCTACGACACGGAGACCTTTCCCGGAGCAGGAACGGGGCCACGGCCGTGTTTGCATTTTCTGAACCCAGGATGGTGCCACTGTGGTTTGTTCTCCCCGTTCAAGTGTTGCTGACTGGTGGGGAGGGACAGCATCGCCTCAGTGAAAGTTTTGGGTTAAACACTGTCTGCAGTAATTCAAAAGGATAAGAAGGACTCCTTTCACTGTGCATCTTTAGACGAAGCATCAACAAAGGCTTTTTCACTGAAATCCAAACTCAAGGTGTATACATGTCACCTCCCAGCACAGCAAATGGCACAGACTCGAGGGAATGTTTTCCTTCCGGAACAACATTATAAAGCAGCAGCCCCCAGCCTGTAGGCACCAGGGACTGGTTTCACGGAAGACAGTTTTCCCACGGACCAAGGGTGGTGGTGGGGGATGATGATTTCAGGAAGATTCCAGTGCATTCCATTTATCATTAGATTCTCTCAAGGAGCGTGCAACCTAGACCCCCACATGCACAGCTCACAATAGGGTTTGTGCTTCCATGAGAATCTAATGCTGCTGCTGATCTGACGGGAGGCAGAGTTCAAGTGGTAACGCTTACCTTCTGCTGTGTGGCCTGCTTCTTAACAGGACACCGACTAGCACTGGTCCGTGGCCTGGGGGTTAGGGAGCCCTGCTCTGTTACAGAGAACAAAATTTGTTACGTAGGGATCACTTGAGCCCAGGAGTTCAAGGCTGCAATGAGCTATGATTGTGCCACTGCTTTTCAGCCTGGCTGAGCGAGACCCTCTCTATAAAAAATTTTTTTAAAGAGTAAAATTTGTATAGTTTTTGGGAATTTACTATGGTGATATTTTATAGCGCTGTCAGGAATGCTCTAGCTATTGGTGGGCCCTCAGAGCACAGTGAATTCGAGGGCTCTGATGTATTCTGTTGTTTTTTTTGGGTTTTTTTGTTTTTTTTATTTTGAGACAGAGTCTCACTCTGTTGCCCAGGCTGGAGTGCAGTGGCACCATCTCAGCTCACTGCAACCTCCACCTCCCGGGTTCAAGCAATTCTCCTGCCTCAGCCTCCTGAGTAGCTGGGACTACAGGCGTGCACCACCACGCCCAGCTAATTTTTCCTATTTTTAGTAGAGACGGGGTCTCACTACGTTGGCCAGGCTGCTCTCAAACTTCTGGCCTCAAGCAAGTTGCCCTCCCGGGCCTCCCAAAGTGCTGGGATTACAGGCATGAGCCACTGCGCCGAGCCTCTGATGCGTTCTTGCCGGTCATTTGTACAGTGTTGCTTGCATGTGAGTTCTTCTTCAGGTCGAGATTAAGGGTATGACATTAGTACTAACCATTATTCAACCTCTGAAATATACGCACATGGGACAAAGGAGATAATTTCATTTACTTATGTGGCCTTACTTTGAAGATATTCATATGTTAGTCCATTTTGCATTACTATAAAAAATACCTAAGGCTGGGTAATTTATAAAGAGGTTTAATTGGCTCATGGTTCTGCAGCTGTACAGGAAGCATGGTGCTAGCATCTCCTTGGCTTCTAGTGAGGCCTCAGGAAGCTTCCGATCATGGCAGAAGGTGCAAAGGGAGCAGGCATGTCACATGGCAAGAGTGGGAGCAATAGAGAGAAGGGGGAGGCCCCAGACTCTTTAAAACAACCATTTCTCACATGAACTAACTGAGCGAGAGCTCACTGATCACCAAAGGATGGTGCTAAGCCATTCATAAGGGATCTGCGGCCATGATCCAGTCACCTCCCAGCAGGCCCCACCTCCAGCACTGGGGATTACATTTCAACATGAGATTTGGAGGGGCAAACCTCTGAGCCATATCACCATAGTTAGTGCATGCCAGATGATTTTTGCGTTTCCCACAGGATGTCAGTGAGCCTTTTTCTCAGTCATGGCCAGCCCCAACAGAGAGGCAAGATGAGTTCCTCTTGGTTGTGATGCCTCTTTTCTTTTCAGTTCACACTTTATGCCCTTTGGCTTGCTGCCAGGTGCTACCTTTCACCCAAAAGAACCACAGGCTCCTCACGGATTTTGCATTCCTTCAGGGTCCTGCCAGTTACTGGCAAATTCAATGATAATTGTGCTCACTGTATAAAATACTTTCTGGAATAAGGTAAAATATGAATGAAAAAATGCACAAATGCCAAACAAATACAGTTGCTTGTGCTGAGATTTTGTTTTAAAGAAGAAAGAGAAAAACAAAGAAATTAAGGACAGCATTGCGATCACTTTTCTTCCTCCAAACAAAAGCTTTCAAGCGCAACATGTTGATTTTTAAAATTCCTTTCTGGGCTGGGCGTGGTGGCTCACACTTGTAATCCCAGCACTTTGGGAGGCCAAGGCAGGCGGATCAGAAGATCAGGAGTTCGAGACCAGCCTGGCCAACATGGTGAAACCCCATCTCTACTAAAATACAAAAATTATCCAGGCATGGTGGTGTGTGCCTCTAATCCCAGCTACTCAGGAGGCTGAGAGAGAAGAATCACTTGAATCCGGGAGATGGAGGTTGCAGAAAGCCGAGATTGCACCACTGCACTCCAGCCTGGGTGACAGAGTGAGACTCCAACTAAAATAAATTAATAAATACATGAATAAATAAAAAAATAAAATTCCTTTCTGTAGCCACTGTGAGCCAAAAGCACGGGCTTAAACTGCAGAGTGCTGTGTGTGCACTCACAAATCCCAGGTTCCCAGAGTGGAGAGCCCTGCACCCCAGCCGCGGCCAAGGGTCAGAAGTAGCAACTGGTGATTAATCAAGTGGCTCCTGTCTTAGGACAGTCAGCGTTTATTGTCTCTGCAGGCCAGACTATAGAAATAAGCAGACCCACAAAAGCCAGCAATTAATATTTCCCCGGAGAGATTCCAGATGCTGCCGGGTGGACTGTGACATGCTAGCATTCTTCCTGCTCCTGATTTATTCCATTGTGTGGAAGAGCTTCCACAGAAATGACTCTTTGGATTTTTCAGGAAATGTTTCAAGCCTTCTTATTCAGACACCCTTTCAGCGTCCAGTGATGGACGAAGCTGTGCCCTAGAGTCCCACCTTCCCAAACAGTGGGCAACTTGCTTTCTCCAGCCTCCTGTCCCCTTCCGAGCACCCTTCACCCCTCCCATCCCCAGGAGTCGCTGAATAGGTCCCATGGGAGAGAAATGACAGCTTGAAGTGATGACCCATCCCACCCCATCAAATGTTGGCATTTTACTCTGGCCTCCAAAGGCATGGGGGGATGACCCATGGCAGGAATACAGGCCTTACAGAGAGGTTCACTCCAACCAAACCATGCTGCTCCCCCAGTGGCCCACCATGAAAACCTCTGGAAAACCAACTTATTTGCCAAATGACTCCCATGAGCAGGCCTTTGCAAAATTTCAGAGTGTTGTACAGCTGCATCCCAGGACAAAACTCTTTCTTTTCAGTACTAACAGTGCAAGTAGAATAGGGTCGTGGTGGAGCATCCCATTGTCTTCATTCCTGGTCCACTAATTTTCATCTGAGTTAAGAGTTTTGGGTTTGAATTCAAGGGAAATGAAAAGTTCTTAAAGGGGCCGGGCACGGTGGCTCACACCTGTAATCCCAGCACTTTGGAAGGTGGAGGCAGGCAGATCACCTGCGGTCTGGAGTTCAGGACCAGCCTGGCCAGCATGGCAAAACCCCGTCTCTACTAAAAATTAAAAAAAATAGCCGGGGTTAATCCCAGCTACTCAGGAGGCTGAGGCAGGAGAATTGCTTGAACTTGGGAGGTTCAGTGGAGGTTGCAGTGAGGTTGCAGTGAGCCGAGATCATGTCCCTGCACTCCAGCCTGGGCAACAGAGTGAAACTCCATCTCAAAAAAAAAAAAAAAAAAAAAAAAAAAAAAGAAGCTCTCAAAGGGCCTGAGCCAGGCACCGTGGCTCATACATGTAATCCCAACACTTTGGGAAGCCAAGGCAGCAGGATCACTTGAGCTCAGGAGTTCAGCCTGGGCAACAGAGTGAGACTCTATCTCCACAAAAAATGTTTTTTAAAAATTAGCCAGGTGTGGTGGTGCATGCCTGTAGTCCTGGTGGGTGGCCAAGTCAGGAGGATCGCTTGAGCGTAGGAGGTTGAGGCTGCAGTGAGCTATGATCATATCCCTGCCCTTCAGCCTGGGCAACAGAGTGAGACCTTGTCTCAAAAAGGAAAAAGAAAATGGCTTGAAAGGCATGTGAGACATTACATAGTTTGAGGTATTTCCTTTGCTATATGCAAAGGCATAAAAATGAACAGGGAGCTAGCGGTTTATTGCTGGTCCGAACCAGCAACATCACAGCTGGCCCTGGGCGTCACAGGGTCTCATGGGGGTACCTTAAGAGGATTCTTAAATGAAACTCAGAACACAGAGAAGTAGTTGATTTTGTGTCTTGCATGTTCTGACTCTTCATTTAGTGTCACAGCAAGGGTCAAGGATATGGGAAATCATAAACAATCCCAAGAGTTTCATGATCTTTGAGAATCTTAAAGCTTCATCTAAGCTATGCTTTTGAATTGGGCAGAACCAGAATGGATACAAGATGAATACAGTTCAAATGATTCTAAAACTAGAGATTAAATCCTGTGAATTTCCTACTCTCAGCAGGAGGAGATTACAACTATTTCCAGGTTTAAGATGATGAACATGATTGGTTTTGCCCCGTGCTCACTGGGCTCAGATGAGAAATAGCTTTAAGGTGCATCCAGGGTTTGGTTGGTTGTGAAGAAGAATATTCCTTGTCGTCAATGAATAAATGTTGTGATAGGTCATTAGAGGAGGATCTAGAGCCCTTTGCTGGAAATTGTTTGAATTTGAAGCCAGAGAAGTAAGCAAGTAACCACTTTGTTCTCCTTCTTTCTCTTTGTTTACTCCATTGTACATTGACTGTCTCCCAAAGTATCCCACCGAGCCTTAAGAAAAAGTTCCCCTTAAAGATAACAGAACTGGAGGATTCAGCTAGGGGCTTTTTGATTAGTCAAGAAGCCTTTGATTGGATGGACATGTAATCCCAGCACTTTGGGAGGCTGAGACGGGAGGATTATTTGAGTTTAGGAGTTCAAGACAAGCCTGGGCAACATGGCAGAAACTTGTCTCTACAAAAAGTACAAAAAAATTAGCCGGGCATCGTGGCAGGCACCTGTAATCCCAGCTACTCGGGAGGCTGAGGCAGAATTGCTTGAACCTGGGAGGCAGAGGTTGCAGTGAGCCAAGATCCTGTCACTGCACTCCAGCCTGGGCGACACAGCGAGACTCCATCTCAAAGAAACAAATAAACAAACAAACAAAAAACAAAAATTAGCTGGATGTGGTGGTGCATGCCTGTAGTTCCAGCTACTCGGGAGGCTGAGGTGGGAAGATCACTTGAGTCCAGGAGGTGGAGGTTTCAGTGAGCCATGATTGCACCACTGCACTACAGCCTGGGTGACAGAGTGAGACCCTGTCTCAAACAAAACAAACAAACAAACACCTTGATTGATGATCCAATATAGTTCTTTTGTTGTTCTTTGGGCCTTCTTTTTTTTTTTTTTTTAATGATCACTTATCTTTCCCTTGAGGGAAACCTACGTTGTAAATAGAGAATTTTTTTTTTTTTTTTTTTTTTTTTTGAGACGGAGTCTTGCTCTGTCGCCCAGGCTGGAGTGCAGTGGCATGATCTCAGCTCACTGCAAGCTCCGCCTCCTGGGTTCACGCCATTCTCCTGCCTCAGCCTCCGGAGTAGCTGGGACTACAGGCGCCCGCCACCACACCCGGCTAATTTTTTTGTATTTTTAGTAGAGACGGGGTTTCATCGTGTTAGCCAGGATGGTCTTGATCTCCTGACCTCGTGATCCACCCGTCTTGGCCTCCCAAAGTGCTGGGATTACAGGCGTGAGCCACCATGCCTGGCCTGAGAAAAATATTTTTGATTTCCACTTTATAGATGAGAGAATTGAAATTCAGGTTAATGATGCCACTCAGGCTTGAAACTTCAGCATCATTTTTGTGTTTCTTCTGCACATCCCACATTCGGTCCATCACCAAATTCTGTTAATTTTTTCCTCGTGATGTTACTGGCATCTGTCTTTTTCTCATCACATCCACTGATACCAACTGGGGCTTTCTGGATGATTATACTGGATTTTTCCATTACCTTCCACATGCTGGTCTTACCTCCTTGATGCCTCCCGTAAGTATTTTGGATCTTGGGAATATGAATTCATGTCTGTTCCCTTCGTTTGGCACCCCCATGGGTTGTGGGCACAGAGGCAGGGAGGCTCTGAGAGGCATGGGCCAGGAAAGGCTTTTCAGAGATTTCTGAGCATACCTGTGTCCCTTACACCTTATTCTAATTCACACCAGCTCTTGGTGTTTGCTCTTCGACTGTGGACCTCTGTGGATGGTAGACAATTTGTGTGAGTCCACGAGCCCTTCAGTGTTAAACATCATTAAACATAAGGTCGCAAAAGTCAGCTGATGCTCAAA
The DNA here is from genome assembly GCF_000001405.40 of Homo sapiens. Classification (NCBI taxonomy): domain Eukaryota; kingdom Metazoa; phylum Chordata; class Mammalia; order Primates; family Hominidae; genus Homo; species Homo sapiens. The sequence continues at coordinate 245,570,810 of NC_000001.11, forward strand.
CTGAAATTGTTGTATTTTGTTTTGTTTTATGTTATTTTGTTTCCCAGAATGAGGATATATTGGTCTTATTGTGCTATGTGTTAGAGCCACATATTCTTTCTTCTGATTCTGTGTTCACATTGCCTTCCAGATATCATCAAATCTAACATGTTAAAATCTAACATAATGAGTGAAAATATATCAGCGAGAATGATAATAGTATCTGCTTTCTAATCCATGTGTTCATCATGGGAAATAACAAAGCTGCATCATATCCTGTCTTGTTTCTATCATGTCCTCTTCTCCAGTTAGATCCTAAGTCCCTCCATGACAAAGACCTGGATTCGTTCACACATTTAGTGATTCAGCAAAACACCTAGTAAGTACCCCTTGTGTGGAAAGCCCTGTACTTGCCTTTGGTCCTATGGGAGTTGCGTTGCTTGATGTTAGTGATGTACCTAAGGGTGGTGTTAGGACTGACCGGGGCTCCCCTCCCAAGCCCCACCTATGTTTTTAATCACAATACCATGCAACTTCCAAATCAACGCTGTTGATAGAAAGACACCTACCCAGCTCTGAAGAGTTATTTGGTCCCTAGATCAAGGGGCAGATAAGTCAGATTTCCAGAAAGATAGAGCCTGCCTCTTTGTCATTCCATCTCCACTATTCCTTCACTGATGAGAAAGTGATCAGATCAGAACTGATGTTGTATAAACTGCTCTGTAATTCCTGCCTGATTGGCTTTTCTTGAGAGGTGCCTGTCCATTAGCTTTTGCCTTCCTTTTGTCAGGCTCTCTAAACACTTTAAGTAACAGAATCAATTAAGCCTTCCTCACGATTTTAGAAAACTAAGTGGTAGCTCAGGAGGGGAGTCATCCTAACAAGCTGTCTGTGTAGACAGTGGATTCTGTATTGTCGCTTTTGTTTCTCAAAGGTTTGGGTTTGGTCAGAGGTTACCAAGGAACCTTCGCTATATTTCCACAGATTCTTTTGTGAGCCTCTAGTTCACGCCCTGTAAGGACATTCATCCTTCTCTGTCCTTGGGAGACGTAGGAAAATTATTTCCTGGAGAAATCAGGCGCTTGTAAGAGCCAGCCTTTCAAAGAGGTATCTACCATCAAAGGGGCTAATCGTCCGAGTGACAGACACGCATGGCTGGCTTCCCTCTTTACTCTGCCTTGATTGAGACAAGATGAGCGTGCTGCTGGCCTTAGCAATGGGGGATTCTGTTAGAACAATATCCTCAGGGAATAGCTTTTATCTGCTAAGTATGACAAGTGTGGCAACTGTGCACAGAGTCCAGATCTCACGACCTCGCTTTGCAAAGGCTACAAGACCAAGGGCTTGTGTACCTGCCCCAACAGAGACAGGCTGACTCTTACTACGTGGCCGTAGGAATGGTTTGCCCTTGCTCAGGACTTATTTACCTAATGTCGTTTGGCCTGGAATGTTTCAGAGCACCCTTTCATGCCTGGTCAGGGTTGTGATCCCTTTTGGAGACAGAAGGAGGTAGACGTGCTTTTGTGTTTCCGACACTGAGGACATTGAGGTTCTGGGGGATTCATCACTTAGCTCCCAACTCTTATTGGGAGCAGAAGTGCCACTGGAGTAGGGTGGCTGGTTTGAGGGTGTGGCCCCGGGAAAGGTGGCAGGACACACTTCTCTTGTTCTCCAGCCCATTTTCAGGCACGGTATCCTGCGCTGCTAGCACCGTAGCCATCACTGACCTCAGGACCCTCCCGGTGAACACTCAGTTAAAATTCCTACTCGCTGCAGTGGGAAATTTTATGTTATGTGAATTTTATCTCATGATTAAAATTAAAAATGAAATTTTAAAAATGAAATATTCAGTTGCCTTTCCTAGAAGGAATCATCCCGATGATACTATTCCTTACTTCTCACATTCATCCCATTCTAATGCCCACATTTACTTCATAATGTATTACCTACGTATAGTGTATGTTGTTCGCTTCATTTAGCATGACCCTATGAAATGCCTGTGTGACCAAAAGCAGATCAACTGATAAGGCCTTTTGTGGCTCAGATGTGTCTTTGCGGGGAAATGGTCAGGCGTCCTCTGTTGGCAAGGGCACCTGTCCCAAGCAGAAATGGAGAAACACGTCCTCACCTCCTCCTGCCACCTGCTCTGAACAGATTCTGTAGCGTAAAATTCTTTATAAATACACATATCAATGGAGTTCTTGACATTTTGCCCAGAACCTGAGGAAGAATAAAACCTTTCTTGTCCAACTAAAACACACACGGAATAACAAGCAAAAGCAAAAGAGAAATCCCAAGAAAACAGACCAGAAACAAAGGGTTATGCTCCGTCATTGTCCCCAAGAGGGTTACACATGAGACTCACAGGGCAAATTTTATCTAAATTAAAATGCTGATTTTTCACATTACAGGCCCAAAGTTTACCGAGGTCACAGTGCTTTTAAAATTAATGAGGCCGGGAGCAGCGGCTCACGCCTGTAATCCCAGCACTTTTGGAGGCCAACGCGGGTGGATCACGAGGTCAGGAGTTTGAGACCAGCTTGCCCAACATGACGAAACCCCGTCTCTACTAAAAATACAAAAAATTAGCCGGGCGTGGTGGTGGGTGCCTATAGTCCCAGCTACTCAGGAGGCTGAGGCAGAAGAATCGCTTGAACCCAGGAGGTGGAGGTTGCAGTGACCCAAGATCGAGCCACTGCAATCCAGCCTGGGTGACAGAGCTAGACTTTGTCTCACAAAAAAATTAAAAAAGAATAATAATAATGAGTGAAGATTAGCTTCCTCTGAAGTCAGTTCCTTGTGGATCATCTTATTGCTTATTTTTTAACTTATTTGATATCTCACTGACCCCTCCCGAGGCAGAAATTTGCTTTTGCTCATTGCAAACTGGCCAAGGAAAAAAAAAGAACAATTTCCTCTATAGAGTAGTTCCCCCTTATCCTCAGATAGCCTTCCAAGACTCCCAGTGAATGCCTGAGACCTCAGAAAGTACCGAGCCCTGTATGTGCTGTTTTTCTGATCTGGTAACCAGGGCGGCTACTGAGTGGTTAACAGGCAGGCAGTGTAGACAGCAGGAGGTGCTGGGCAAAAGGAAGACTCACATCCCAGGCAGGACGAAATGAGATGGGGTGAAATTTCATCACACTACTCAGAATGGTGTGCAGTTTACAACTTATGAATTATTTATTTCTGGAATTTTCCACTTAATATTTTCAGACTAAGGTTGACTGTGGGTAACTCAAACCTTGGAAAACAAAACCGTGGGTAAGGGAAGACTGCTTTAAGATCTGAGAATGAGGACTGACATGTTTTGGTTTGGCTGGTGGTTTCAGATCCAACCTCAGTAGTTCCTAGAGACCATTTAATTTGTTTTTGAGATGGAGTCTCGCTCTGTTGTCCAGGCTGGAGTGAGTGGCGTGATCTCGGCTCACTGCAAACTCCACCTCCCGGGTTCAAGCGATTCTTGAGCCTCAGCCTCCCGAGTAGCTGGGATTACAGGCATGTGCCACCATGCCAGGCTAATTTTTGTATTTTTGGTAGAGATGGGGTTTCACCTTGTTGGCCAGACTGGTCTCGAACTCCTGACCTCAGGTGGTCTGCCCGCCTCGACCTCCCAAAGTGCTGGGATTACAGGTGTGAGCCACCATGCCTGACCGAGACCATTTAATTTGAATAAGTGCCCAAGAAGCAAAGGACTGAGCCAGGCAAGATGATCTGAGAGCAGGAAGGTGTGGCCAGGCTGGCTGAGCCATGAACAGGCTGGTTGCTCCAGGGCCGGTGTCTCCCCTGGAAGGTTCTGGAGTTCAGGCTGTGTTGGAGTCCACCTTCTGCCCCTCAAGTCCATGGCAGGGCCGTTGACTGCTGCTCTTGCCTGAGTCTCCTGGTTGCAAAGGCCAGGCAAGGCACTGCCTAACGTTGTGACTAACATCGTGGGTGTGACGGGGAGTCAGGGTGGCTTCTCTGTTGCCCCAAGTATGCCCTGCACATCACCATCTTCCTTTTCAAAGAATGGTGAAAATAGGAATTGTGCTCTTTAGGGAAGATTGTCTTTTTTATATCTTTTTCTTTTTTTTTTCTTTTTTTTTTTTTTTTTGAGACAGAGTCTTGCTCTGTTGCCCAGGCTGGAGCGCCAGTGGCGCGATCTCGGCTCACTGCAAGCTCCACCTCCCGGGTTCACGCCATTCTCCTGCCTCAGCCTCCCGAGTAGCTGGGACTACAGGCGCCCGCCACCACACCCGGCTAATTTTTTTGTATTTTTAGTAGAGACGGGGTTTCACCATGTTAGCCAAGATGGTCTCCATCTCCTGACCTTGTGATCCACCCGCCTCGGCCTCCCAAAGTACTGGGATTACAGGCTCAAGCCACCGCGCCTGGCCTTTTATATCTTTTTCAAAGAAAAAGGTAGGCTGGGGGCGGTGGCTCACGCCTGTAATCCCAGCACTTTGGGAGGCAGAGGCGAGTGGATCACCTGATGTCAGGAGTTCGAGACCAGCCTGGTCAACATGGTGAAACCTCATCTCTACTAAAAATACAAAAATTAGCCAGGCATAGTGGTGCACACCTGTAGTCTCAGCTACTCGGGAGGCTGAGGCAGGAGAATTGTTTGAACCCGGGAGGCAGAGGTTGCAGTAAGCTGAGATCGTGCCACTATACTCCAGCCTGGGCAACAGTGTGGGACTCCATCTCAAAAAAAAAATGTAGAAAAATAAAAACAATCATCTATTCATGGCTAGGTAGAGGTCAGATTTCACTCACTGACCTGTTTTTAGATTTTCCTTCGATATTCCAACTCTTAGATATGTCAGGTTGCTGGAGTTGCTGACTGCACTAACTTCTGCATTCTCCAACTTTCCCCTCAGAGAGTGGCTTGTCTAAATCACCCAAATTACCATGTGGGTGAGAATGTTGGGGAAATGAAGATTTAAAATCCACAATATTATTAGTGCTGTCAATATCATAATATCATAAATGTCCATACGAGGAAAGGAGACCTTGGCAGAGGCTACCTTTTCTATCTGTTTTGTGTGTGTGTGTGACATTCTTCATGAATGACTTCTTGAACTATGAAAATGAGGCAACTGTGGCCTGAACTCTCTCATTTGCCTCCTCCCCTTCCTGGCATTTACTTAAGACATTTCCTGATGCTTCCCGGGGGTGTTTCATGCTGGTGTCTAAGCCAGAGATCACACCTCCCACCCACCATGCCTGCACCTCCACTCCTGCAAAGGTTTTTAGAGTCAGGGTCCCTATCAGTGTCTAAGCATCAGGCTCTTCAGACCCTGACCTTTGAAAAGTCCAAATGGCTCTTGAGTGCCCCATTTTCTCCCAATCTGAAAACTGTAAGAATGAAATATAACAATTAAGCCTCAGAGGATCACAAGCGCAGGTGATCCTCATGAGCCCAGACTGATATTTCTAAATTATCTAGATCTTCCTTGAACATAGACTCCAGAGTTACCGGGACGCAGCGTTCCCATTCCACTGGGCAGCCATCTATACGTGAAGTGTCATTGTTGGTGGTTTGGGAGTTTTATTTTCCCTTTCATAACACGTCTCCTGTCTCCTCAGCTCCCCCAGAACTCCCTGTAATCATATTTGCTATCAGTTGTGTTTGTGGAGGTGTAGTGAATTTTTCAGGGATGAATACCAATGCTGAGACCCTCCAAGAAGACCTGTGAGGTCAGCCTCTGTCAGCGTGACAGCCCAGTGGGAGGGGGCCCCAAGCTACACAGCAGGAGATGATTGTCACACGTCCTGGTGAGAGAGCCTGCTCACCAGCTCTGGACCTGCACTCCGTGTGCCTGGCCAGTAGATAGGTTTCCCTGGTGTTCCCCAGGCCTTTTCTGCTTCATGACATTGATTATATAGCTAGCATTTCATTTCAGTAGGGCTTGGGAAAGGGGGTTCTTTATTGCAGCTCCTGTAAAAACCCATTTCCACACGAATCACCTCTGGCCTTTTTCTGTCTGGCACATTGTTTAGACAGGAGGGGTTTGTGTGTATCACTTCCCTCCAGCCTCTCCTAAGTGGAAGCCTGGGATTTGGAAATTGGGATTTTTTTCCTTCTCTCTAAATGAATGCCTTGTTGGATACCTTGTTGATAAAATGCCATTTCTCACATCTTTATAGCTTAAGGGGCTACCTTAGCCACAAGGCACAGTCCCTTATTACTGATAAGAGCTACTGTCATTTCACTTATATACTTTGGGAGATTCATTTTTGCTTCTCAGCATCATTTATGTTATGATTCATATCTAAATTTAAGGTAAAATTTTATGCTTCACCATCGACTTTTCAAAGTTTGTCTTTGAAAATGATTTTTAAAATGATCTAATCCAAACCTCTCAGTTTACAGGTGAGAAAACAAATCTAGGGCAGAGTTTTTCCACAGGGGCACGAGTGATGTCATGGACCAGATGTTTGTGTCGTAGGGGGATGCCTGGTGCACTGTAGGGCATTTCCTGGGATCTCAAGCTTCTATCCTCTGGATGCCAGTAGCACCCTCCAAGTTGTGACCAACAAAAATGTCCCCTGTCACACAGCTAAGTCATAACAGAGTCAGGCATAAGACACGGGTGTCCCGACTCCCCCATCTGCCCTTTCCAGGTTGGGCAACAGAATTAAGCTCTCAACCCACACAGAGCTCAGAGAATTAGTCAAGAGCACTTCCACAATCTCCAGGGAGAGAAGAGGGTTTAGGAGACAAAAGAGCCAACAGCATGGAAGAGCTTTGTGGAACTCTGGGCGATGCATCCCCTACATGGAAGAGCTTTGTTGAACTCCAGGCGATGCTTCCCCTATACGGAAGAGCTTTGTGGAACTCGGCAGTGCATCCCCTACACGGAAGAGCTTTGTGGAACTCCAGGCGATGCATCTCCTCACCGGAAGAGCTTTGTGGAACTCCGGGCGATGCATCTCCTCACCGGAAGAGCTTTGTGGAACTCCGGGCGATGCATCTCCTCACCGGAAGAGCTTTGTGGAGCTCCGGGCGATGCATCCCCTCACCGGAAGAGCTTTGTGGAACTCCGGGCGATGCATCTCCTCACCGGAAGAGCTTTGTGGAACTCCGGGCGATGCATCCCCTCACCGGAAGAGCTTTGTGGAACTCCGGGCGATGCTTCCCCTACAAGGAAGAGCTTTCTGGAACTCGGCAATGCATCCCCTCACCGGAAGAGCCTTGTGGCACTCCTGGCAGTGCATCCCCTACACGGAAGAGCTTTGTGGAACTCTGGGCAATGCATCCCCTAACCGGAAGAGCTTTGTGGAACTGCG